>NC_000001.11:234214424-234365939 GCF_000001405.40 Homo sapiens | reverse complement strand
CCAGACACAGTCCTAGCCCCCAAGTTGCTTTCAAGCCCCCATACCTGGGTCCTTGTATAACAGATCCTGATTCTTCTTGGCCTGAGGCTCCAGATTCTTTCCCTTGCATCCATCCTTGCCCTACTTTGCTGGGCAAGTCTTACACAAGTGCCACTTTCATCACGTTGCTCTGATCCATCCTCAGGCACAAATGATGAACAGCTATTTGATTTCTCAGCCTGATATTAGGAGTCTCTAGTCTCTGCAATCTGACTCCAGCCTTCCATAACCTATTGGTTGTTCCCTGGTCCTTCAGTCAGGCCCCTTCTTGGCCGGTGCACCCACCCACTCATTCCCACATCTATGCTGGTTCTTACCTTTGCTCTCACCTTTGATGCTCTTCTCCAACCTGCTCAGCAACAAAATCTGATGCACTGGCCCATATCCTTTCAGAAGCCTTCAGTGACAGGAGAGCACACTCATTTGGCCTTTTCCTGATGGCTTTTGTATTCCTAGCCAGTACAACATGTTCTGTAATTAGCCCACTCCGCAGCCAGGCACGGTGGCTCATGCCTGTAATCCCAGCAATTTGGGAGGCTGAGGCAGGCAGATCATTTGAGGTCAGGAGTTCGAGACAAGCCTGGCCAACATGGTGAAACCCTGTCTCTACTAAAAAATACAAAAAATTAACTGGGTGTGGTGGCGCACACCTGTAATCTCAGCTACTTGGGAGGCTGAGGCATGAGAATCGTTTGAACCCGGGAGGCGGAGGTTGCAGTGAGCTGAGATCGCACCGCTGCACTCCAGCCTGGGCGACAGAGCGAGACTTTCTCTCAATAAATAAATAAATAAAAATAAATAAATACATAAATAAATACAAATTAGCCCTCTCCATTTATTTCATGGTCTGTTTGATGTGAAATCCCTGCCCTCAGTTCTGCTTAGAGAAGGGGTTTGGTAATTTCCCATTTATTCCTTATAGTACATAATACCTTGTCGCTACATATGGGAAACACCTAAGACACAGCTGCCATTTGCATGAAGAATGCACAGTGAAAAGAGGAATTGGACTGCTTAATACATAATATCTCTCATTTGACATACAAAGGTTTATGGAGTGAGTGTGTCTTATGCACTATGCCTGATGTTCGGGGAAGCACAGCTCAATGAAACGCAATCTTTGCCTTTGATTTGTTCATAGTCTGGTGGGGAAGTCAGATATGAAAACCTAAAGCCACACTGTAATAAAAACTAATCCTGAGCTGTGGGCCGAGGCTTGTGAGCACGGAGGATGGGGTAGCACATCCTTTCTGGGAGAATCAGAGGGGCCTTCACTGAGCAAGTGAACTTGGAGGCTACACTGAAGAAAGAGTGAATGTTTCCCAGATAGGAAGGGAAAAGGAGGCATTTGAAGCAGAGATAAGTGCAAAGGCCTGAGAACCTAAAAGAACTTAGTGCCTTATTGTTCTCAGCCTCACTGAGTACTTCCTAATTTAGAGCCTTGCATTGGCTGACCCCTGGGGTTCCTCTGCCTGGGGTGGTTTCTCCAACCACTTCTTCGCCTCCAAGTCTTGGCTCATCAAGTCCTAAGCAATTCTCCCTATTTAAATTAAAACCTGCTCGCACGTCCATTGTCCAATATGCCAACACCAGTTTTGAATATTCCATTCTTTCCCCGTTGATTTAAGATATCAATTTCATCCATGAGAGCTTGTAATATTTATAGTTTATAATATTATAGCTGAGCAAATCTATTTATCAACTGTATATGTATCTGTATATCTATATATCTACCTAGTTAGCTATCAACCTATATGTATGTATGTATATATTCTTTTTTTTTTTTTGAGACGGAGTCTTCCTCTGTCGCCTAGGCTGGAGTGCAGTGGCGCGATCTCGGCTCACCACAATCTCTGCCTCCTGGGTTCAAGCGATTCTCATGCCTCAGCCTCCCGAGTAGCTGGGATTACAGACATGCGCCACTACACCCGGCTAATTTTTTGTATTTTCAGTAGAGATGGGGTTTCACCATATTGGCCAGGCTGGTCTCGAACTCCCGACTTCAGATGATCCACCCGCCTCGGCCTCCCAAAGTGCTAGGATTGCAGACGTGAGCCACTGCGCCCAGCCGTATGTATGTATTCATCCACCCATCCATCCATCATCCATCTATACAGCTAAGCTTGCATTGTGCTATTCACTCAAAACCCACACATTTTTATTGCTGTTGCTGTTATTAAATGCTTTCTTAATCACTGAAAGAAGTATATTAAAATATGTCACAATTATTATATATTTGTCTCTGTTTATATTTCTAACAGTTATAGCTTACAGCTATCTTGTTAGGTATATATGATTACATATACCATCAACATACATTTCTTATTTACTCATTTAACATTTCTGGCCTTGAATTTTATTAACTGATATTAATATTACCTCATTTCCTTTCATTTTTGTAGCATTTCCTTAGCGTATCTTTTAAAAATCATGTATTTGCATCCTTTTTTGGGTCATTTTGTTTTAGTTTTAGTTTCACCTCTTGTACAGAGCATACGGTGACACTGAAAATTCTTCGGTGAGAATCTCTGTTTTTTTTTTTGAGACAGAGTCTTACTCTCTTGCCGGGCTGGAGTGCAGTGGCACAATCTTGGCTCACTGCAACCTCCACCTCCGGAGTTCAGGTGATTCCCCAGCCTCAGTCTCCCAAGTAGCTAGGCCTACAGGCACACGCCACCATGCCCGGCTAATTTTTATTTTGTATTTTAGTAGACACGGAGTTTCAACATGTTGGCCAAAATGGTCTCGATCTCCTGACCTCGTGATCCGCCCACCTTGGCCTCCCAAAGTGCTGAGATTACAGGCGTGAGCCACCTCGCCCAGCTGAGAATCTCTGTTCTTAATGGATGATTGTAACCTATTTTCATTTACAAGGATTACAGTTGCATCCGAAATTATTCCAGTCTGACCAGGCCTGTTTCTGGTAGGTGGGAAAAGAGTATAAATGAGAACCCATGCCTCGTATGCTTGGTACTTAAAAGTTATGAATCAAGCTGAAAATAAAATGATTTTTCCTGTACCTTGACAAGTGTACCTTCATAACAGCAACATTTAAAAAGATGTATAAAGGTATGGTTTTTATAAAGTTGCCAAAATGTCAAAGATGGCTGAATTTAATTATTATTACAGTCCTGTTGATGAATCAGCAATATTTGATTCAGCAACAAAATAATCTATTCAAAAGTATGTATTCTGTAAAATGTATCTTTCTTGCCTTTGTTTCAGCAAAATTGTTAACTACGTTGTTAAAAGAAAGAGTTTCTAGATCCTGAGGTAGAACTTAGGCAAAAAATAAAATATAAAAAACAGAAGGAGTTTCACATAATTTGTATACAGATCTAAAAGAATTAAGAAGTAAATATAATTGTGTTCAAATTACACCAAATATATATTTATAAAAAATGTAAATTAAAGTAAATGTAAAGAATTTTTAAAAAGTTATTTTTACATATTTTCATGATGTGGTTATGCTCAAGTATTCAAACTTATCTATTAAAATCTATAAGGCAAAACCAGTGATAATCAAGGTCTATGAAACAATAAATCATTATTATTATAATGAGTTGAGTTTTTATTTAATTTTCTAAACATTTAATTACATACTTACTAAATGTGTTTGTAAAAAATATTTACAAGTTTAGTGTACAAAGTTTGGCTGTCAGTATAACAAATTGGTATCATGTCTCACTCTAGACCTTTAAGCATACATCTTTAAGAGTATTATGAATTGTTTAATAATAAAAATGTGGTTGGGCACTGTGGCTCATGCCTCTAATCCCAGTGCTTTGGGAGGTCAAGGCGGGCAGGTCACTTGAGGTCAGGAGTTCGAGACCAGCCTGACCAACATGGTGAAGCCCTGTCTCTACCAAAAGAATACAAAAATTAGCTGGGCATGGTCGTGCATGTCTGTTGTCCCAGCAAATCAGGAGGCTGAAGTGGGAGAATCTCTTGAACCTGGGAGGCGGAGGTTGCAGTGAGCCGAGATCACGCCACTGCACTCCACCCTGGGCAAGAGAGCGAGACCCCTTTTAAAAAAAAAAAATTGCAAACTGTTCTGCAATTTCTGAGAGCAACTATTATGAACATCACACTAATTTGTAAGTACCTCCAGAACCATGAATTGGACAAAAATGGGTGCTTGCCATTCCTGGGAAAATATATTTTGTCATACAGGAGTCTGTTACATTCGTGCTACCTGAGAAGAAAGAGCTCACAAGTTAAATTTTCTTTTCTGTTACCAAAGCACTTCTGCCACGCAAGTCCTCCCTGCAAGCCAAAGAATCTACATACTGACATTAACACTGATACTACATGAAAGTTTCATGGTATTTGGACATAGTTCCTGTTGTTTCAAGGTCCTAGGCCAGTCATGAGAGTTGATATTTAGGATTGTTACACATTGTAATGCCTACATGACCTAGGTGAATTTCTATCCTGTCTTAACCCTGCTTATCTTTAGGAAACAGGATGCCTGAGGTCTGAATTTCCCCCTTGTGATCTAACTTACTAAGACTGGATCCAAGATGGCAGCTCACTTGACCTCTGAAGAACCTCTAACTTCATTATAGTCTAATGTCCATGCTAAACGACTCTCCCACCAGTGCCATGACAGTTGACAATCACCCTGACAACAGCCAGAGGAAACCATGAAAGGACAAAAAGGAAAGCGCACTCTGGTTTTGAGCGGTTCTCTGCCCATTCCCAGAAAAGACATGAATATTCCTCCTCTTGCTCTTAATGCTTAACCCCTTCATTAAAGATGCCCTATATTTGTGATATACTCACTTGCAAGAGCTATGAAATTGATTTGTGAGCCAAGCTCCCACTTCTCAATTCTATGGCCATCGAACGAAACCTGAACTGCTTGATGCTCACTTTTGTTTTTGTGTATTGGCTTCTGAACTGAACAGAGAAAGACCCCATTTTGGAAAGACAGACTTTGTCAGTAATAGGATCTCCCATTCAGAGCTGAAGGCTAGATCCCATATGATAAAGCAATTTGTTCTTGCTCTTGTTTTATGCTATCTTTTGAAAACATTAATTACACCTTATTTTAGTTCTCTTATGTTCTTTTAATTTATAATTTATTCCTTTTCCTTAGATGGTAGTGCCTCTGACTTTTTGGTTTAATGTCTTCATTCATAGTGTTGATCTTGCTTAAATGCTCGGTAAATTTTGTGGTCTATCTGTTCATGCTTGTGATTGCTAAATTATGTTTTATTTAGTACCGTCTCTCTTTTTGTAGAGAAAGGATGGGAATTGCTCAGAACTGCCTGCTTTATGTTTTCATTTTAGTATGAGTTTTTTCTGGAGTTATGTAGAGCAAATGGTTCCTACTCTTGCTAACACTTTCACCTGTGTATGTGTTAAGTTGCAGTCTTTATTTGCTGTCTTCCCATAAGTAAAATCCCATCTCCTTTCTATCCTAAAGAATTCCTCAACATTTCTGATCCTCTATTTCCAGGACTTGAAGTGGGAGAGGAAGTAGGTACTTAATCTTAATCTAATCTCTTTCCTTTTCTTTTCTTTTTTTTTGAGATAGAGTCTCACTCTGTCACCCATGCTGGAGTGCAATGGTGCTATCTCGGCTCACTGCAACCTCCACCCACCGGGTTCAAAGGATTCTCCTGCCTCAGCCTCCTGAGTAGCTGGGACTACAGGCGTGTGCCACCACACCTGGCTAATTTTAGTATGTTTAGTAGAGATGAGGTTTTACTATGTTGGCCAGGTGGTCTCGAACTCCTGACCTCAAGTGATCCACCTGCCTCAGCCTCCCAAAGTGCTGGGATTATAGGCGTGAGCCATTGTGCCCGGCCTCTTTCCTTACTTTTCCAAAACACTTTAAGAAATACCATAGTGGAGCAAAACAATAATGTTTACAGAAAACGCAACTGCACAAACATAGATGCCTCTCAAAATTAACCCTGTGATGAGTGATAGCAACACTCCGTAGGCTTCAGGTCAGTCCCTCTCCTTCTTAATGTTCACCTCCCACCTGACTCCCAGCCTATCCCTCATAGCAGCCAATATTCTATTATTTCCCACCATAACATAAGATGAAGCCATACTTTCGACCAGTTTGTCCCCTTTCCAGCCATGAGAGACCTAAGATTTGAGCTTTTTTGTCTCTTTAGGCCTGAGGATGTATAGAGATTACTCAGGTTCCAGGGTGAGGAATGTGCTGTTATTGGCATAGTAAATGAGACTTCAACACACTACAGGTGAAGCCCCTTCCCACCATTAGCCCACACTAGAGCAATTCTTTAAGCATTCAATAATCAGAACCCACATAGAATGTTAATTGCCTCACATCTGGTAACCAGAGAGTTATTCTGTCCTCTGGATAGTGTACCCTATGTTTTTATTAGCTTTTAGTGCCCACGATATTTGCACTTATTCTACTTACAGCAGCTACAACCCTAAGATGTGATTTTTCATTCATCCTGTTCCCCTGAAATGATTTTGGTTTGGCCACGAACAGAGGACTTCACATATATCATTTATTTATTTGTTTCATGAATACTTTTAAGAATGCAGTCTGCATAATGGAAACAGTTCCTGCCTTTAAGAGACTTGGAAGTTAATAAGAGGACTGACCAAGGTCACCAAGACATCCAATATGAGGCAGTGGTGTGAGATAGGTGGCACTCGAGGGCAGACTTGGTGCTTATTTGATTTTGGGGGACTGGGAACTTCTTCATGAAGGAAGTAACTTTTGAGTTGAGCCAAACAGGATGAATAGGATGTTCAGAAACAGGTGGGAGACAGGCCGGCACCATCTTAGCCTGTTCAGGCTGCAGTAACAATACCATAAACTGTGATATGATTTGGCTCTGTGTCTCCACCCAAATCTCCTGTTGAATTGTGATCTGAACGTTGGAGGTGGGGCCTGGTGGGAGATGATTGGATCGATGGTTTCTTATGATTTAGCACCATCTCCCTAGTGCTATCTTGTGGCAGAGTTCTCACAAGATCTGGTTATTTAAAAGTGTGCAGCACTTCCCCCTTTACTCTTTCTCTCTCTCCTGCCACCACCTGAAAACACGCTTGCTTCCCTTTTGCCTTCTGCCACGACTGTAAGTTTCCTGAGGCCTCCCTAGTCATGCCTCCTGTACAGCCTGTGGAACTGTGAGTCAATTAAACCTTTCTTTCTTTATAAATTACCCAGTCTTAGGTAGTTCTTAATAGCAGTGTAGGAAAGACTAATACAAACTGGGTGGCTTATAAAAAATCAAAAATTATTTCTCAGAGTTCTGGAGGCTGGTAAGTCCAAGGTCAAGGAGCTGGCAGATTTGGTGTCTGTTGAGAGCCTGCTTCCTGGTTCCTGTGTCCTCAGAAGGTGGAAGAGGCAAGGGAGCTCTCTGGGGTCTCCTGTATAAGGGCACGAATTCCATACATGAGGACTCCACCCTCATGAACTAATTATCTCCCAAAGGCTTTACCTCCAATCCAAATGCCCTCACATTGGGGATTACATTGGGCATATGAATTTGGGGTTGGGGAACACAAACATTCAGTCTATAGCAAGAAGAAACAGGTAGTACGGTAGGGGCAAGATCTGGGAACAAGAAGAAGCTCAGATAAAGAGATGGGCATCTGTAGGGTAGTGGTGGGAGATACCAAAAAAATCCAGACAAGGTTCTAATGTAGAGGGTACTCAATGCCATGCTGAGACATGAGGGCATTCAGTGGTCAGCAACAGAAAGCCACTGAAAGTAATTAAGCAGGAGAATAACATGCTTAAATATCTTGTTTATTATAGCCCATCATCTCAGTCTGAGCTCCTTTTGATCTTGAGTCTGTCATTCAAACTATGGAATTATCTCTTCTAGCACTGCCACCCCCTGCAGGTTTGATAGACATCTTCAATTATGCTTTTCTAACTAGACTATCAAAGCATACAAAATTCATAGCCCTCATCATATCCCTAACAGTGACTTCCCTCCAGGTTGGTGATTATTAAGAATCTTTGGGCTATGCTTATCTAACCACAGAACTCCCATGTATAATGGCATCCAGTCCATAGTTTTCAATGATAGTAGCAGATATTATTGATTACTTACTATGTAGTCAGTACACATGATTTACATTCATTATCTTATTTAAACCTTTCACCAAGCCTCAGGGATGAGGCTCTTGACACTTACTGTGAGTTCCTTGAAATTGCAGTGACTTTCCTGTCCCAGACATTTGAATCATCATTCTATGTTTTGAAGCTTGATTGAAAACTAAATACATTATGAATTTTATCAAATAAATCCTTCATAAAACCTTCAGGTATTTGTACCCCCTTTAATATCCACTTGGTTAGTAGGAAGAGTTGTAGAATTCACAAGCTCAATTAGAGACTTCATTTTTTGCTTGTGTTTTTTGAGGTTATATGAAACGTTTTAAATGTGACCTGGGAGAAGAGTGAAATAGAGTTTTAACTTAACCAGGATGCATGATTTTAAAAATCGAAGTAGGCCTGAATTTCCTGAAAATTTTAAAATAATCTAGTAGTGCCAGCATGAACCTTAGTCACTTAGGCAATAGAGAAGGTTTTCATGGAAATCCATTGGTCTGTTTTAAATAAATACCTTGAATATTAATAGTATAAAAGAGCATTATCTAAGTAATACTGAAGCTTATTATCAGCTGAAACTTTCTTGATCATGATGGTTAGCCATTTACGCTCACATCTGTTAACAATGGTGATTGCTTTCATCAGGAAAACAACCTTTAGATATGCAAATAGCTCTTTCTGAGGATCCGGCAAGATGGCAGAAGTAGAGCAGAAGAAGAAGCGGACCTTCCGCAAGTTCACCTACCGCGGCGTGGACCTGGACCAGCTGCTGGACATGTCCTACGAACAGCTGATGCAGCTGTACAGTGCGCGCCAGCGGCGGCGGCTGAACCGGGGCCTGCGGCGGAAGCGGCACTACCTGCTGAAGCGCCTGCGCAAGGCCAAGAAGGAGGCGCCGCCCATGGAGAAGCCGGAAGTGGTGAAGACGCACCTGAGGGACGTGATCATCCTGCCCGAGGTGGTGGGCAGCATGGTGGGCGTCCACAACGGCAAGACCTTCAACCAGGTGGAGGTCAAGCCCGAGATGATTGGCCACTACCTGGGCGAGTTCTCCATCACCTACAAGCCCGTAAAGCAATGCCGGTCCGGCATCGGCGCCACCCACTCCTTCTGCTTCATCCCTCTCAAGTAGTGGCTCAGCTAATAAAGGCGCACATGGTTCCAAAAAAAAAAAAAAAAAGATATGCAAATAAGTGTGGTAGCTAATATTCTGTCTCCTTTCCTTCACACCTCATAGATTTTCAATCCCCAGATGTATTTTCATCTTTAGAGAAATCAAAGGTGTGTTTCCTAATTATGTTATACTTTTGCATTAAGTTTAATGAGTTAAATTATAAAACTTTTTCCATTTATACCAGTGGGGTTAGTAAATGGGCCTCTGGCTAGGGGCTATTATAGCCCCTAGGCTATTATCTCATGATCTTCCAAGTACCAGAGATGGGTAGTGTAATGAAGGGCCTGGGGTCTGGTTCAGGACATGCTTTCTATTTTACTGAAGAGTTCTCAGAACAGAGTGTGCTCTGCTTTCTCTGGTTGCTCTGGGGATTTCTGTTCACTAAAATTGTTGCCTAACATTACACTAATGACTGTTCCTTAAGAGCTGATTCTTAAGAAGGTAGGGCATGACCTATAGATTTCCTCGCAGACTTGGTACAATTCACAGGAAATAAACATAGAGAGGTGAATTACTTGTCAAAAATTACATTGCTACTAAATGGCAGATCCAGGATTTGAACCCCTAAGGTCTATTATAGAAAATGTGATATATTATCTTGTGTGGTACTCTGGGGAGAGGCCATGTTTACTTGGTAGGGACTTTGTCTCTTCTGTTTGGCCTTCGATTTCCTATCTAAAGTAAATGTGCTCTAAGTGTCAGCAAAGATAATCGGGCTTAATGGTGGAGCAGAAAGTTGGCCAAATATAGCAAATGTCATTATATGAAGGAAGAGCTCATTAAGTCTCACTCAGCTATCTTTCAATAGGCAGAGGGCTTTTGGAAAGAAGGCCACCTTGTTTGGAATTAAGTTTTATTTTTATCATAGTAGTCTATGTATAAAGTTTATTTCATTTTTTATTTCTTTATTATTTTATTTTTATTTATTTTTTGAGACAGAGTCTCGCTCTGTCTCCCATGCTAGAGTGCAGTGGTGCAATTTTGGCTCACTGCAACCTCCATATCTGGGGTTCAAGCAATTCTCATGCCTCAGCCTCCTGAGTAGCTGGGACTATGGGCATGCACCACCACGCCTAGCTAATGTTTGTATTTTTAATAGAGATGGGGTTTTGCCATGTTGGCCAGGCTGGTCTCGAACTCCTGGACTCAAGTGATCTGCCTGCCTCAGCCTCCCTAATGTCGGGATTACAGGCATGAGCCACCACGCCTGGCCACAAAGTTTATTTTAAATCGAAGAGGTCTACGAGGATTTTATGAAAGCCAATAGTCTATCCCCTATTTCACCCAATTTTCAACTCTTCCATTTTCCTTACCTCCACATTTCTATATAGAATATTTCTTAACTTTTCAAGTTTAGAGAACATATATTGACTTCCTACCATGTTAATGATATGATAAATACACATTTATTATTTACTTTATACCAAGTATTTTTATCAGTACATTATATATAGATATAAACTCATTTTATCTTTATGATAACTCTTTGAAGTAAGTAGTATCATCTTCATTTTCCAGATGCAGAAACTGAAGTACAAAGAAGTTGAGTAACTTACCTAAGATCATACAGCTAGTAGGTGTCCTGGGATGTGAAAAAAGGCAATTTGGCTAGGAAGTCCAAATTTTAAGCCATTTTTCTGTGCACCTGCCCTCCATTCCGGTTTACATTCTCTTCCTAACTACATTTCCTACATTCCTCTAATTTAATTTTGGTATGATTTTTGGTTAAATTAATTGTTATTCTTTACATTATTATGGTTATACCAATGCAGTGCACTGCCGAGCCATGTAATGTACTACTTGTATGTTTTCTTTCTTTTTTCTCCTTCCTTTTTCCTGTGATTGATACTAGCCTTTTTGAGGGCCTGAATTTTTATCTACCTATTGTTAATGCTTTTCAATTATTTCACTGTTTCTCCCATGTGTATATTAACAATATGTTTCTATTCAGTCAAATATCAATTGTATGTCTTTATTTCCTGGAAACTTCTTCCTTCTGCTTCAGTATGTAATGCTTGCTCTTTGTAAAAATTTCATTGGGAGACTTCCCTTTGTGTCAGATATCCTCTTTCCTGGATCCCATGTCATCTTCTTTCTTGTTTTAATTCATTGTTTTGGTAGAACATATTTTCCAGTCTTCTTTTGGAAGGGTACATAGCGGGTATTTGAGCCCTTGAATATCTGAAAACATCTTTATCCTGTCCTTGTGCTTGATTGAGAGTTTAGCTGGCTCTAGAATTCTAAGCTGAAAATAATTTTCCCCCAGAATTTTGAAGGCATTTGATTATTTGTCCTCTGGCTTCTGATGCTGCTATTGAGAAATATGAAGCCATTCTGACTAATAATTTGTAAGTATTCTCTACTTATCTTTCTGGAAGTTTTCAGGATCTTCTTTGGTATTCTGAAACTTCACAGTGACATCCCCTAATATGAGTCTCTTCCATATCTTTAGCTAGTGTGAGTATTGGTGAGTATTTTTAATCTAGAGTCTCATGTCATTTGGTTCTGAGAAATTTCTTCCTCTCTCTTTTCTCTGTTCTGTATTTCTTGAACTATTAGTAGGATGTTGGATTTATTGGATTGATCCACTATTTTTTTCTTGTATTCCATCTCTTCTAATTTTGTCTTCAAGGAGATTTAAACAAATTTTTAAAATTTCTTCAGCTGCAAGTAACAAAGACTGAACGTCATGCGTTAAGCAAGATAGAAGTTTGTATCTCTCCCTTATGTAAAAGTTCAGAGGTAGGTTGTCCATTGTTGCTATGCCAACTCTACTCCATGAAGGGATTCAGTCAGGCTCCTTTTATCCCCAAGTTTACCTCATGGTGTATACCAGTTATCTTTTTAAGAAAGTCTCTACAAGTTGCCACAAAGTACTTTTACTCACATTTCAACAAGTAGTCACAAAGCCACAACTTGCTGCAAGGAGAGTGGAAAATGTAGCCTTTATTTTGGGTGGCTAGGAGGTTAGCAAAAAGTTCAAGGAGGATTACTTGGAAAAAGGTAAGAGCATATCTCAGACCTGCCATTTCTCATTGATTCTGTCATATTTTCTACAGTGATGATCATGTTATCCGAGAATATAGACAGGTTTACTTTTTCCTTTCAATGTGGATACTTTTTATTTCTTTTTCCTAGCTTATTGCAACAGCTAAAACCTCTAGTACAATGTCTAACAGGAGTGTTGAGTGTCATCCTTTTCTTGTTTCTGATTGTTGGTGGAAAGCATTCAATCTTTCACCATTAAGTAATATTAATTATAGGCTTTTTGTAGATGCCATTTATTAGGTTGATCCTTTTATTCCTACTTTTCTGAGAGATTTCATACATGGATATGGGCTTTTGTCAAAAGATTTTGTGTGTGTGTCTATTGATCATATGGTTTTCTTTTTAGTTTGGTAATATAGTGAGTTACATTGATTTATTTTATTATTTTTTATTTTTTGAGACAGAGTCTTGCTCTGTCACTCAGGCTAAAGTGCAGTGGTGCGACCTTGGCTCACTGCAACCTCTGCCTTCTGGGTTCAAGTGATTCTCCTGCATCAGCCTCCCGAATAGCTGGGACTACAGGTGTGTGCCACCCTGCCTAGCTAATTTTTGGTAGGGACAGTCTTTGACTATGTTGGCTAGGCTGGTCTCGAACTCTTGACCTCAAGTGATCTGCCCACCTTGGCCTCCCAAAGTGCTGGGATCACAGGAGTGAGCCACCGCGCCTGGCCTGGTTGATTTTTAAATGTTACACCAGCCTTGCATTCCTGAGATAAACCCCATTTGGTCAGGGTATATTATCCATTTTAGATGATATTCTTGAATTCAGTTTGCTAAACAATTATTTAGTATGTTTGCATTCACTTTCATGAGATACATTGTTTCGTAGTTTCTTTTCTTGCGATATCTTTGCCTAGTGTGGTATCAGGATAATGCTGGACTCTTTATGAATTGAGAATTATTCCACCTTTTCAGTTTTCTGAAACAGTTTATGTATAGTTGGTATTATTTCTTTCTTAAATATTTGGTAGAATTTATCAGTGAAGCCTTCTGAATCTGAAATTTTCTTTGTGGGAAATCTTTTAATTACAAATTTAATTTCTTTAATAGATATAGTGCTATTCAGGTTATGTATTCCCTCCTAGGTGAGCTTTGCAGTTTGTGTCTTTCAAGGAATTTGTCTATTTCATCTAACTTGTCAAATTTATTGACATAAATTTGTTCATAATACTCCCTTATCACCATTTTAATATCTGTGGAATCTATAGTGATATCACATCTCTCATTTCTGATATTGGCAACTTGTAATTTCTCTCTTTTTTTTTGTTAGTCTGGCTAGAGGTTTATCAATTTTATTGACCTGCTCACTGACCAGTTTTTGGTTTAGCTGATTTTCTATTTTATTTATTTCCACTTTGATCTTTATTATTTCCCTATTCTGCTTACTTTGGGTTTAATTTTTTGTTTCCCAGTTTTTAAAAAATTGAGGCTGTGGTCAATGATCTATCTTCTTTTTCTAATCTAGTACTTTAGTGCCAACATTTTCTAAGTAACGTTTCGGTTGTATTTCTCAAATTTTGATATACTGTATTTTATTTTCATTCAGTTAAAATGCTTTTTAATTTCTGTTTTGATTTCTTCTTTGATTTATGGGTTGCTTGAAAGTGTGTTGTTTAGGTTCCAAATATTTGCGGATTTTCCAGAGATCATTATGTTATTGATTTCTAATTAAATTCAATTGTAGAATGCTTACATTCTGTTTTATAGCTCAGAATATGGTCTGGTAAATGTTTAATGTATACTCAAAAGCAATGTTTATTCTTCTGTTGTTGGGTCAAGTGTTCTATAAATATCAAGCAATTCAAGTTGGCTGATAGTGTTGCCAAATTTTCTATATCCTTGTTGATTTTCTATTCTAAATTATTGATGGAGTAGTATTGAAATCTCTGACTATAATTGTGTATTGGTCTATTTTTATTTGTAGGTCTGTTATTTTTTACGTCATGTATTTTTAAACTGTCATTAGGAGCGTGTTTAGGATTGTTACATTCTTTTGATTAATTAACAACTTTATAATTATGAAATTACCTTCTTTATCTGTGATAATATTCTTTGCTTCGAAATCAACTTTTTTGATATTAATAAGGCTCACTCTAGCTTTCTTTTGATTAATATTACCATAGTATATTGTTTTATTTTAACTGACTTATGTGTTTATATTTAAAATGCATTTCTTGTAGGATAAGTATAGTTGGGCTTATCTTTAATCCAATTTGAAAACCTCTTTTACTTGAGGTAAACCTCTTTTACTTTGACTACTTATACTTTATGTTGATTATCTGTATGGTTAGGTTTAAATCTATGATCTTAAAATTTGGTTTTTGTTTGTCTCATTTGTTCTTTTTTACCTCTTTTTGCCTTATTTTGGATTATTGAATATTTTTATAATTTATTGCTCATTTACTGGCTCTTTGTTTTTTTTCATTTCAGTGGTTGCTTTAGAAATTATAGCATACCTTTTTAATTTACCACATTCTATCTTTAATTAATCCTACATCAATTCATGTATAGTATAAGAACCTTACAACCTTACTTTGACCTGATCAGTGGTCATGTAAATGGAATTATACAGTATGTGCTATTTTACGTCTGACTTCTTTTGCTCATAATGATTCTTATGAAAGTCATCTATGTTGTTAAATGTATCAGTAGTTTATTCTTTTGTATTGTTTGGTAATATCCCATTGTATGAATCCACCTTAGTATGTGTATCTGTTTATCGATAATGAATATGTGGGCTGTTTTCCGTCTTTAGCATTTGTAAATAAGCTACTATGAACATTTTTCTATAGGCCTTTTTGTAGACATATGCATTCATTTTCTTCTAGATATATACCTAGGAGTAGAATTTCCAGGTCATAAATAAGTGTGTATCTAACTTTATTAGAAACTGCCAAACAGTTTTATGAGATGGTTTTATCATTTTATACTGTGGATATTGGAGAGTTCACATCCTTATCAAAACTTGGTATTCTCAGTATTTTTTAATTCAGCCATTCTGGGAGGATAATAGTATATTACCATGGTTTTAATTTTTATGTTTTCCTGGTGACTAATGATGGTAAGCTCCCTTTTTATAAAATGTACAACCTTCTCTTTGTTCTTCAGACATACTAAGGCCACCCGGTCTATGTGCCCCAAATTGCAATTATTCCGTCCCAAATAAAATGTTTTAAATTTAGAGATTCATCTCTATATTTTATTTGACTTCAGTAAGTATAAGTTTGCATATATTCACAAATATAGTATCAGATATTCACAAATATAATATAATATATTTTTCACTATGTTGCCCAGGCTGGTCTCAAACTCCTGAGCTCAAGCAATCCACCCGCCTTTCCTTCCTAAAGTGCTGGGATTACATGTGTGAGACACCACACCCGGCCTTCTTTCTTCTTTCTTCTTTGATTTTTAAAAAGATATGTATTTATTCTGCTCTGAAAGCTCTTATTCCCTGATTGTTTCTTGTTAAATATAACATCTCATCTTGCTTTTTTGGATGTAGTTTCTCTTATCCCTCTGGGAACACTGATTATTGTGTGTTTTTGTTGTTGTCATTATCTTTTGCTTTCTGTTGTCTATTTCCATTTTTAGTTTGTTTACTCTTATCTCTGTTTTCTTCTAGCAGTCTTACTCAAACATCGGGTGATTCTTGGCTGGCTGCGAAGAGTCTGGTGCTGGGTGGTTGGTTTCTAGTTCTGCAGATGTTTAAGCGGAGCCAGTGCATTGGTAGGCTTCATTACAAAGTGATCAAGAAGCAAACTAGCTTTTTTTGGGGACCTCACATATCACTACCTAAACTTCTCTTCCCTAGCCCCTCAGTTTCTTTGAAATGGAATCTCTCAACATCTTGCCCGGGGTATAATAGAGAGGAGGGAATAGGTGGCTGACACTGACTTTATGGAGTCAGGGCTGGAGAATGACGCAGAAGGTAACACAATTGAGCAGAGAGAATTTCATTGAATTTCCTCGTGTGTAAACTCATGCCTTGTTCTGGTCTTTCAGCATACCCCCAAGTATATAGTTTCTCAGGTTCTGTTTCTCCAGTGAATTCATTAATGCACTCCAAAATAGTTGACTACTATATGTCCGGTGATGTCCAAGGTGCTGGGTATAGAGCAGTGAGCAAAACAACATCTTTGATCTCATGGGCTTGGATTCCATTTGAGAGAGACAAACAAAAACAAAATCAACAAATTAATGTATACTGTATCACATGGAACTAATTAAAGAGGAATAAAGTAGGGTCAAGGGATAGAGAGTGACAGGGGGTGGTCTTTTTGTAGGCGTAGGAAATCTCTCTGATGGGAGACCTAAAGGAAGTAAGGGAACAAGTCATGGAAGTGTTTAGTGGAAGTGTGTTCCAGATGCAGGAAACACAAATGCAAGACCCGAAGGTGAGAACGTCTGCCTGTGCAAGGGCAGCACTGTGTGTACTGACGAGGGGAGTGGGGCCTCCAGTTACTCTGTTTACAGAATTTCACCACTCTCCCTGGCTGCATTGCAAGCCCTCAGCCTCACCTCATTCTGTACCTAACATATTTGACACTCAGAGTTGATCATTTTTAAAACCCTCCTCCTCTGTATAATAAAATTATTTGCAGTAATAATAATAGAGATAAATGATAATGATGAGAAAAACACAGTGAATATTTTCTTTATTGAATTTTGTATATATAATCAAGAAAATGAAAGTAAAATAATTACAATACACAAAAGGGAAAAACCTCAATGGATAGCACTTTTAATTATGTAGATATATTTTTTAAAACAAACAAATGTATTCCTACATATTGAGCTATCAAAATAATGAATTAACAATTATGTTTATGTTCTCAAGCCTTAACTTCTGCAAATTCTTCAGTGACCTTATAAAAATTTTTCTTCTATATATATTTATGATCTATAGATATTATAGCTAGATATATCCTTTTATCTTCAATCATAGTTAATAAAAATACTTCTTATTAGTATAAACTTAAAAAAATTCTTTTAAAAAGAAAAGATATATGAATCTTTAGAAGAAGGCTTAAGGATGTGAAAGTTGATCATACAAATTGGGTCATTCTTGTCATACCCAACTAAATCAGAGTCTCGAGGCTAAAGGGAAAAAGCACTCAGGGCACATGAAATTGATCCAAGAATGTAATTCTCTGCAAGTCTGGCTGCTGAAACTGCCTGCTGTACCCTGAAACTGGCTTTATCTAATAGCTGCTGAAATAACTTGCTAAGACCCTTAGACACGTTTTCTCCACAACCATCACTCACCAATCAGAGCTTGCCAGCTCCCCAACACTTTACTGGTACCAGTGAACTTTCTGGAAAAACAATAAGTAACATTTCCCCTTTTTATAAAACGTACAACCTTCTCTTTGTTCTTCAGATATACTGAAGGCCACCTGGTCTATCTGCCCCAAATTGCAATTATTGCTTCCTACATAAAATGTTTTAAATTTAGAGATTCATCTCTATTTTATTTGACTTCAGTAAGTATAAGTTTGGCAGATATTCACAAAAATCCCATTTCACAATGAATTCCAGAAACTGCAATATGGTCCACATTTCTTTTTGGCTCAATTCTAGCAACTTTCAAACATCTCTATAGTCAAAAAATCATTTCACTAAATTATTTCTATCTGAAAATTCATCATAAATTTCTTATATTTGTAAAAACTTCTACAGGTTTTCTTTTGTAAAAATCAGAAGGGCCGGGCCCAGGGGCTCACACCTGTAATCCCAGCACTTTGGGTGGCCAAGGCGGGCAGGTCACGACGTCAGGAGATTGAGACCATCCTGGCTAACACAGTGAAACCCCATCTCTACCAAAAATACAAAAAATTAGCTGGGCGTGGTGGCGGGCGCCTGTAGTCCCAGCTACTCGGGAGGCTGAGGCAGGATAATCACTTGAACCCAGGAGGCAGAGGTTGCAGTGAGCTGAGATTGCGCCATTGCACTCCAGCCTGGGCTACACAGTGAGACTCCATCTCAATAAAAAAAAAAAAATCAGAAAACATCACTGAATCATAGTGAACATTACCATTATTTAATTTATTGCGTTACAATGGATATTCAGTTCTTGGTGAAAATACTCAAGGTTTTGAGACATTGCCCTTGTGATTTTTTCTGGCAATGTGGCTGCTTTCGTAACTTCTCTTCGCACTCTTCTCTGAAATGTAATTATTTTTTCCATGTACATGTAAATGTTCTCACTTTATGTTGCATAGTTGCTAACCTTCTGCACAAATTTTTTGCCTAGATTTTTAAGGTACAACTTTAAAGCTTGATGTTTTGCTGTAAATTGTTTAAGCCTGAAATCTAGCTGTTTGCAAATATTTTTGTGTTTAATTAATCCTACCTAAAATTCACATCCAAAATCAAAAATCCAATAAATTATATCTCTGATATTGTTTTATTTTCTTGATTCCTTCTTTAATTTTGACAATTAACAAAAGAATAAATTTTACTATTACATATTCAGTAATCAGTAAACTATTTCATGTGTAAACCAAAGTTTGTACTTACCAAAGAAAAATATTACACCATGTAGTTTTCTCTCTGTTTAATTTTACACACAGAGGCCTCCACTGGTCACACAGAACAAAAGAAGAATGGAAGTAACTCAAGTTTTGTTCCTTTGCCTTTACTGTCATTGTGCTATCATTGTCTTTCATTGTTTAGCTCTAGTATATTGTTTAAATGTAGCACTATGCAGTTCTACAGGTGTTGGAAAGACAGGAAGTATGTGGAAAGCCAGTGGCAATGATTCTGATACAACCTAAAAAGAAAAGACTCAGTGGTGTCTGGGTGTGCCAGGGACTGCTTGATAGCTGGGAGTTCCCTGCATTCATCTCTGCATAGAATACAAGGCTTATTAAAGACTAAGGAGGCCAGGCACGGTGGCTCTTGCCTGTAATCCCAGCACTTTGGGAGGCCGAGGCGGGTGGATCACCTGAGGTCAGGAGTTCGAGACCAGGCTGGTCAACACGGTGAAACCCCGTCTCTACTAAAAATACAAAAAATTAGCCAGGCACGGTGGTGGTCTCCTGTGATCCCAGCTACTCAGGAGGCTGAGGCAGGAGAATTGCTTGAATCCGGGAGGTGGAGGTGGCAGTGAGCCCAGATAGTGCCATTGCACTCCAGCCTGGGCAACAGAGCGAGACTCTGTCTCAAAAAAAAAGACTAAGTAATAAATGTGCTGATTTGAAGCATATATATGTATATATAAGCTATTGTGTATCTATATTGTGTGTGTGTATATATATGTGTATGTTATTATATATATGTGTGTTTAAAACTCTGAAGACAAAACACTCTTTTAGCCTTCACTGGGCTTCTGCCTCCACCACCCTCACCCATTTAGGAGAGGCAAAATTATACCTTTATCCTCTTAGGGTTTTTCAGCTGGGCCTTATATTTAAATTGACAAGACAGATCAACAGGAGAAAAGCAGACACATTTATTTGAGACAAAGTTTACATGACATGGGAGCCTTTAAAAGGAAATGAAGACCCAAAGATGCGGTTAGAGTTGAACACTTACATACTGAGGTGGACAAAGAGTAGTAAGTTGTAGAAAAATAACTAAATTCTGTGGGGAGGCTAAAAGAAGTTAACAGTTATTTTAACAAGGTCTGTACAGAATTCCCTTGGCCTTGACTTTGTGCCCTTGATGATAAGAATGATATTTTCCTTCTGCTATGGGGAAGGCATCTTGTGCATGGTAATTTCATCTCTTGTTTTTAAGAAACAGAAGGAAGATCAGGCCAGGAGTGGTGGCTCCTGCCTGTAATCTCAGCACTTTGGGGGTCAAGGCGGGAGGACTGTGTAAGGCCGGGAGTTCAAGTTCGGGAAGGAAGGTCAGAGTGAATTTTTTGTACCGACTGTGTTTCAAGTGCCTTTTACTCAAAATAGTCAATATGCCAGAGCAGCATATTTTAGGGTGGCATATTCTCCACACATGCTCTCAGGTTCTGGAGCCTGATGCTGCCCTGGTAGGGGGAATCCTGAGAGGACTCATTCCTCACTGGGCATCCTCTCCATGGGTACTTTCTCTCCTCTGTTGTTTAAAGTTCCCCTATAGCTGCTGCGTGAACAAACATACATGGACAGACCTGAGCCCAACACTTAGCCTGGTGCCAAGCCCAGACAGATCCTCATCTGCAGCAGAGCCACTCAGCTGAGCCCAGCCTAAGTCAGCCAAAGTGCAATTGCCTGCAGACTGGTGAGAATGAGCAAACATTTGCCTTTTCTTGTAAGCCACCAAATGGGAGGTGGGTTTGGTTGTAATTGTTGTTTTTTTTGTGGTAGGCTCTCACTCTATCACCTAGGCTGGAGTGCAGTGGCATAATCATGGATCACTGAAGCCTCAAACTCCTGGGCTCAGGTGATCCTCACACCTCAGCCTGCCAAGCAGCTGGGACCACAGGCAGATACCATCATGCCCAGCTAATTTTTATGTTTTAAATAAAAAGTATTGTAGAGATGGGGTCTCACTATGTTGCCCAGGCTGGTCTCAAATTCCTGGGCTCAGGTGATCCTCCCACCTCAGCCTGCCAAGCAGCTGGGACCACAGGCAGATACCATCATGCCCATCTAATTTTTATTTTTTAAATAAAAAGTATTGTAGAGATGGGGTCTCACTATGTTGCCCAGGCTGGTCTCAAACTCCTGGGCTCAAGTGATCCTCCTGCCTTTGCCTCCCAAAGTGCTGACATGATAGGTGTGAGCCCCTGCAGAAGAAGATGGCCATCTGCAACCTGGAAGAGACCCTCGTTAGAGCCCAACCATGCTGGCACCCTGATCTTGGATTTCTATCCTCCAGAACTATGAAAAATAAGTTTGTTATAGCAGCTTGAACTAAGAGAGCTGACTAAAAATTTTTTTTAAAAGTCCTGGCGCGGTGGCTCACGTCTGTAATCCCAGCACTTTGGTAGGCCGAGGCGGGCGGATCACGAGTTCAGGAGATCAAGACCATGCTGGCTAACACGGTAAAACCCCTCTCTACTAAAAATACAAACGATTAGCTGGGAGTGGTGGGGGGTGCCTGTAGTCCCAGCTACTAGGGAGGCTGAGGCAGGAGAATGGTGTGAACCCAGGAGGCGGAGCTTGCAGTGAAGCGAGATCATGCCATTACACTCTAGCCTGGGTGACACAGCGAGACTCCATCTCAAAAAAAAAAAAATTTTTTTTTTTTTAAAGCCTAGCTTGGCTGGGAGCAGTGGCTCATGCCTATAATCCCAGCACTTTGGGAGGCTGAGGCGAGCAGATCACGAGGTCAGGAGTTTGAGACCAGTCTGGCCAACATGGTAAAACCCTGTCTCTACTAAAGATACAAAAAAGTAGCCAGGCATGGTGGCATGTGCCTATAATCCCAGCTACTTGGGAGGCTGAGGCGGGAGAATCGCTTGAATCCAGGAAGTGGAGGTTGCAGTGAGCCGAGATCGCACCATTGCCCTCCGGCCTGAGCGACAGAGCAAGACTACTCCATCTGAAAAAAAAAAAAAAAAGAAAAAACAAAAAGGCCTAGCTTTCCTATGTAACATTCTTTTAGGGGCATACTGCGAGGAAGTCATTTAAGCTAATTTTGATTATATAAATTAATGGGCTATATTAACTCAATGTGTGGCTCTTTCCAGATACTGGTTTTGAATTTCAAATAGAGCTTTCCAGAGGTGATGTGCTATGCCTCAAAAGAGTGACTATCTCAGGGTTTTTCAGTGACCAAGGTGGTAAGTGAATAGATATAGACACGCACCCCAAAGCAATTCTAAAGCATCTTCTCTATTCCAGTGAAAGAACAAGCCAATGGAATCACAATTGCTGCTATTTCTTGCTATTGTAAAGCTGAAACTGTATTGAATGTTTAATAAGTAGAACCTCAGAAGTAATGAATTACGGCAAAACATCATATATGTTGAAGAAATCACTTAGTTTTTAGTAGTAAATGTTTGCTCGCTTATTTTAGAGGTGGAGTCTCGGTATGTTGCCCAGGCTGGACTCAAAGTCCTGAGCTGAAGTGATCTTCCCGCCTCTGCCTCCCCAATAGCTGAGACTGCAGACATGTGTGACCATGCTCAACTTTAGTATTGAATGTTTAGAAAAACTCCCAGATTTATACATGAGAGTGACAGACTGCTACAGATGAAATGGTAAATGTATTGAGTCCTTAACATGTTTTTAAATATACATAGAATTTTTAGAATTGATTTGTTCATTGTAAGTGAAGTAGAAAATAACCTGGCAATGGCCTTAAAGAATCATAGGATTCCCTATGGTTGAGTTGTTAGGAAATATGTAGCGTTTCCTGCAAACATCTATCATTAATTCTATTGTTAATAAAATCATCCATATAGTATACATTTCTGAGTTCCCATAAAAGTTAAAAGAATTTCTATTTTTAGTTTTGACTTTTCTGCTTGCTGGCTTTTCATCAGACATTCACACTGAACTCTCTCTGCCAGACCTTGTCCAGGGAAGCAAAATGCCCTCCGTATTGATTCTTTGCTATTTGTGTTGTTGCTTGCTTGATTGATCTGGTCACATCTCTCCTTGGAAAGCAGCCTGCTCTCAGCTCCATTAGCTAATTACATGACCAGTGGCGCCCATGGGCAGTCCCAGGTGGGATTCTAGGAGCAACCTGCCTCCACCTGCTCTGCTGGTGTGCAATTGCCCCTGGCTCTGCTCTCTGTGAACTGTTTAGACAGATGTCTGCTGCCTGCTCCCTGAGAGTCCCATCGTGGTGCTTTGTGAAGGAGAGACGGCACCTCAATCGGATGTTTGGCATACACTCCTTTTAGTCATAGTCAGCTTATGCATCAGTCAGAAAAGTGGATATGTGAAAGGAGTGTTTATGATTTGAGTGCTACATAGCTCTTCAGCTTTATCTTTTGTCATAGATATACATACACACTTTATGCACTGTTCAGTATATTTCTAAATATGCTTTCACCTGTCTCTGTCGGTCTCCCTATCATCTATCAATCATCTAATCAATCATCTATCTATCTATCTATCTATGTATCTAATTTATGCACTTGTACCTCTAAACTCCCTATGGCAGGGGTAGCAATCTCAGAGACCCACAGAGCCAAGATACCTTAGGTCTGTTGAGGTTATTGTAACAAAATATTGTAGACTTGTGAAATTCCTTATAATTCTATGAACAACAGAAATATTTCTCACAGTTCTGGAGGCTGGGAAGTCCAAGATCAAGGCAACAGCAGATTCTGTGTCTGATGAGGATCTATTTCCTGATTCATAGAGGGCCCCTTATCACTGTGTCCTCACATGGTGGCAGGAGCAAGGGAGCTGTCTGGATCCTCTTTTGTAGGGACACTAATCCCATTCATGAAGCTTCTGCCCTAGGTGACCTAATCACCTTCCCAAAAGCTCCCTAGTCTCCAAATACCATCACCTTTAGGGTTAGGATTTTGACATATTAATTTTGGAGAGACACAAACATTCAGACCATAGAACCAGATAAATAGTGCAAGTGAGCAAAGGCCAGTGCAAATATACCCGCAGATATCTGTGAATGGCTCTGGCTGAAGAGTGTAGCCACAGCTAGGGCTCAGCAGACTTTTGGTGTGAAATTCAGGCTTCAAATTGCTAGAAGCTTCATTCAGGAGAAATCTTTCAAGGGAAACCAGAAATCCATATTCTTATGTGAAATCTTCCAATTTAAAAATATTAGCTCAAATGTGTTTAAAAAGGCAGTCAAATAAAACAACTCTGTGTCATCACTGTATGTAAAGCCAACTTGCATGCCACTAATTTTCAACTGTAGCTTACTATTTCTTACCTTCTTATTTTATTTATTTATTTATTTATTTATTTATTTGAGACAGAGTCTGGCTCTGTCGCCCAGGCTGGAGTGCAGTGGCGAAATCTCGGCTCACTGCAAGCTCCACCTCCCAGGTTCACGCCATTCTCCTGCCTCAGCCTCCCAAGTAGCTGGGACTACAGGCGCCCGCCACCATGCTGGCTAATTTTTTATATTTTTAGTAGAGACGGGGTTTCACCGTGTTAGCCAGGATGTTCTCGATCTCCTGACCTCGTGATCCACCCGCCTCGGCCTCCCAAAGTGCTGGGATTACAGGCGTGAGCCACCGTGCCTGGCCACTTTCTTATTTTTATATATGTTATTCCCTCTGTTTTTAGTGCTCCTCTTCTATGTTATTTACTTGGAAAACTACTATTACTGCTACTACTACTACCAAAATGGCATCTACTCTTTAAAATCTTGCCCAGTCTCTTTCTTTTTATGGGGCATTAGTTAATTATAGTCCTATTCCACTTATCCTTGTATACATAACCTTCATAGTACTTATCACAATTTATTTTTTTAACCTGTCTCTACTAATAGCCCATGCTTTTTTTGTTGTTGTTAATTGTGGCAAAATAGATATAAGTTTGCCATGTTAACCATTTTTAACTGTACAGTTCAGTGGCATTAATTACATTCACACTGTTATATAACTATTGCCACTATCTGTTTCTAAAAATTTTCATCCCGAACAGAAATTCTCTACCCAGTAAGCAATGATTCCCTTTCCCCCCTCCCTCAGGGTCCTGGTAACCTTTAATCTCCTTTCAGTCACTATGACAGAAAGTCCAGGGGTATCTCACATTCTAGTTACTTCCATAAGTGGAATCAGACAATATGTCACCTAGCATGATGTCTTCAAGATGCATTGTGTTGTAGTATGTATTAGAACTTCATCCCTTTTTTATGGTTGAATAATATTCCATTGTGTGGATATATCACATTTGATTTATTCATTCTTCTGTTGATGAACACTGAGATTGTTCCTACTTTTTGGCTATTGTGAATAATGCTTCGATGAAATTGGTGTAGAAGTATCTGTTTGAATTCCTGTTTTCAGTTCTTCTGGGTACACATTTAGGAGTGGAATTGCTAGGTCATATTGTAATTCTGTGTTTAGCTTTTTGACAAAGTTCAATGCTCTTCCACAGTGGCTGCATCATGTTACATTCCCGTCAGCAATTTACAAGTGCTCCAATTTTTTCATATCCTCACCCATATTTGTTATTTTCTATGTTTAAAACATGGTTATTATAGCCATCCTAGTAAATATGAATTGGTATTTCATTCTGATTTTCATTTCCCTAATGACTGAGGATGTTGAGCCCTCTCCTCCTATGCTTATTTACCATTTATACCTCTTCATTAGAAAATGTCTATTCAAGTTCTTTGCTCATTTTTGAATTGTTTGTCTTTATGTTGTTGAGTTTTAAGAGCTCTTTACATATTCTGGATACTAAGCTCTTACCAAATATATGATTTGAAAATATTTCCCCCATTCTCTAGGATGTATTTTTATTTTCTTGATCATATCTTTTGATGCACAAATGTTTTAAATTTTGATAAAATCCAACTTATCTATTTTTTCTTTTGTTGCTCATGTTATTGACATCATCTGAGATTCCATTGCCAAATCCAAGGTCATGAAGATTTACTTCTTTCTTCTAAGAGTTTTAAGGTTTTTGTTCACATGTGTAGGGTTTTCTCTTGAGCTGTTTTGAATTAAATTTTTTATATGGCATAAGGTAGGGTTTGAACTGCCTTCCTTAATGCATATGAAAATCCAGTTGTCCTAATACAATTTGTCTGAGAGACTGCTTTTTTGCCATTGAGTGGGCTTGGCACCCTTGCCAAAAATTAATCAACCATAGTTGTATAGGCTTATTTCTGGCTCTCAATTGTATTCCATTGGTTTATCTGTTTATCTGTATGCCAGTACCACACTGTTTTGATTACTATAGCTTTGTATTAAACTTTGAAATCTGAAATTGTGAATCCTTTTACTTTGTTCTTGTTTTTCAAGATTGTTTTGGCTATTTGGGCCTCTTGTAGTCCAATGTGAATTTGAGGATCAGCTTTTCCACTGCTACAGAAAAGGCTGTTGACATTTTACTAGGGATTCAATTGAATCTGTAGATTGCATTGCATAATGCTGACATCTTAACAATATTAAGTCTTCCTAAGCATAAACATTGGACATCTTTCTATTTATTTAGTTCTCCTGTGATTTCTTTCAGCAATGTTTTGTAGTTTTCATTGTGCAAGTCCTTCACTACCTTGGTTAAATTTATTCCTAGGTATTTTATTCTTTCAGATGGCTATTGTAAATGGAATTGCCTTCTCAATTTCCAGTTTGGATTGTTCACTGAAGGTGTATGGAAATATAATTTATTTTTGTGTCTTGATCTTGTATTTTGAAGACTTTCTGAATTAGTAATTCTTATTATTGAATCAGTAATTCTCTAATTTCAATTGTATTTTTTTCTTTGACTCATTGGTTGTTTAAATGTGTGTTGTTTAATTTCCACAAATTTGTGAATTTTCCAGTTTTCCTTCTGTTATTGATTTCTAGTTTCATTCCATTGTGGTTGGAAAGAATAGTTTGGATAATTTCAATCTTTTAAAATTTATTGAAACTTGTTTTGTGGCCTACTATATGGTCTACCCTGGAGAGTGTTTCACAAGCATGTTAGAATAATATGTATTCTGCTATTGTTGGGTGGAATGTTTTAATATATTTGTTAGGTCTAGTTGGTGAATAGTGTTATTCAAGTCTTCTATATTTTTATTGATCTTCTGCCTAGATGTTCTATGTATCATTGAAGATGATGTATTGAAGTCTACTACTATTATTGTAGTATTCTTGTATGTATATTTATTTCTTCAATTCCATGAATATTTGCTTCAAATGTTTTTGGGGACATATTGTTTGGTGTATATATCTTTATAATTGTTATACTTTCTTGATGAATTAACCTTTCTATCAATATATATTGTCCTTCTTTGTCTCTTCTAACATTTTTTTACTTAAAAGACTATTTTGTCTGATAGTATAGCCACCCTAGCTTTCTTTTGACTACTCTTTGTATGGAATATTTTTTCCCATTTTTTTAACTTTCAATCTATTTGTGTTTGGTGATCTAAAGTGAGTCTCTTGTAGACAGATAGATGGATCACAGGTTTTTTTAAATCAAAAAATTCATTCTGTGAATTTGCCTCTTTTTTTCTTTTTTGGAGAGCTTAATCTGTTTACATTTAAAGTAATTACTGGCTAGGAAGTACTTGTTTCTGGCTGGGTGTGGTGGCTCACGCCTGTAATCCCAGCACTTTGAGAGGCCAAGGTGGGCGGATCACTTGAGCTCAGGAGTTCAAGACCAGACTGAGCAATATGGCAAAACTCCATCTCTACCAAAAATTACAAAAATTAGCCTGGCACTGGTGGCAGGTGCCTGTAGTCCCAGCTACTTGGGAGGCTAAGGCACAAGAATCACTTGAACCTGGGAGGTGGAGGTTGCAGTGAGCAGAGATAGTGCCACTGCACTTCAGCCTGGGTGACAGAGACTCTGTCTCAAAAAAAAAAAAAAAAAAAGGAAAAAAAAAAGAGGAAGCACTTGTTTCTGCCGTTTTGTTGTTTTCTCTATGTCCTCCACCGTTTTGTTTGCTGTTTTATTTCTTTCAGCACTGAATTCTATTTTATTGAGTTGATTTTTTTTATAGTAAACCATTTTTATTCCCTTATTTTCTTTTGTACATATTCTATATTTTCTTTGTTTACCATGGATATTACATTTAACATCATAAATTTATAAAAATATATTTTGAATTGATATCAACTTAACTTCAGATAGCATACTCAAACTCTCCTTCGTATAATTCCACCTTCCCCCTCTTTCTTACTTTTTTCTTTTTTTCCTTTTCTTCCATAACCAATAGACCACCAGGGTATCCTCCTCTATATTTTATTTTATTTTTTTGGTCTCAACTTGTATCTTTACACATTGTGTGTCCAATAGCATAAATTTATAATTTTTATGTATTTGTCTTTCAAATCATGTAGAAAATAGAAAGTGAAGTTACAAGCCAAAAATACAATGATTGCTTTTATATTTGCCTATGTATTTATCCTTATCAGAGATCTTTATTTCTTCATATGCCTTCAAGTTATTGTCTAGCATGTTTCCATTTCAACCTGAAGAAGTCCATTTAGCATTTCTCGCAGGGCAGGTGTACAGGTAACAAACTATCTCAGCATTTGTTTAGCTAGGAATGTCTTAATTTCTCCCTCATTTTAAGGGAGGAATTTTTGATTTTTGTCATCCCACTGTCTTCTAGCCTCCACTGTTTCTGATGAGAAATCAGCTGTTATGTTATTGAGAATTCTTTGTATGTGACATGTCATTTCTCTCTTGTCTCTTTCAAGATTCTCTTTATCATTTGCTCTTGACAGCTGATTATAATGTTTGTCAGTGTGGGTCTCTTTAAGTTTATTGTACTTGAAGTTCATTAACTGCTTTGGATTTTAGATTCTTGTCTTCAAATCTGGGGAGTTTTCAGTCATAATTTCTTTAAAGAATATTTATAGCTGCTGCTATCTCTTTTTCTTTTGATTCCCACTATGTGTATTTTTGTCTACTTGATGGCATCCCACAGGTCCCTTAGACTACGTTAATTTTTCTTTAATCTTTTTTCTTTCTGCTCCTCAAACTTGACAATTCAATTGTCCTATCTTCATGTTTGCTGATGCCTCTGCTTAAATCTGCTGCCGAACTCCTCTAGTAAAATTTTCTTTTTAGTGATTATACTTTTCAGCTTCAGAATTTCAGTTCTTTCCTCTTTATAATTTACATCTTTTTATTGATATTCACATTTTGTTCATACACAGTGTTACTGACTTAGTTTTCTGTGTTTTCCTTTAGCTTATTGAGCATCCTTAACACAGTTGTTCTGAAGTTTTTATTTAGTAAGTAGGATGTTCGGAGTTTCTTGAGGACAGTTTTTGTTGATTTATTTTGTTTCTTTTGAATTGGTCATATCTTTCTTGTTCTTGTGATTTTTTTTTTCAAAAAGTGGACATTTGTGTATCATAATGTATAACTCCAGAAATCAGACTGTCTCCCTTCCCCAGGGTTTTCTGTGTTTTTCCTCTGTTTGTTTTTGATTGTTGAAAGCTGTAGTAGTCTATTTATCTAGTGACTTTCCCAAAATACTATTGCAAACACTATATTCCTTGTCATGTGTGGTCACTGAAGTCTCTGTTCCTTAGCTTGTGTTCAACTAGTTTTTTGACAGAGATTTTTTTGGATCCATTAAAAAAAAATTTTTGACAGCTAAACACAAAAACAACGAATAAAACAAACATTCAAAAAGCAAGAGAGAGAACAATACCTCTTATAGTCTTCGCAGATTGGATCTGTGCCAGTGCCCTCCTTCAACATTTAGCTAAGCTTGCACTGAGCTCAGAGCTCAGCCCTAGGTTGAAGTTTAGGGCCTTAGTGAGAAGACCCAATGTTAAAGTATAGGGCTTTTATGAGCATGTGTTCTGTTGTAGGCTTGCACGTGGCTTTCTAAATTCCCTAGTATACATGGCTGGTTTTGAATATTCTACATTCCCAACAAAACTCAGCCCAGCTTTTGCTTTAGGCAATGTGATATATGTTTACTCTCTAATCTTTTGTGCCATACAGTCAGATGTATGTTTCAACTATAATTTTTTGTCCCAGGTTGTTAGTTCATTCTTCAGTGTTTTTGGTAATGCTCATCACTCTTTTAGCCTGAGTTCTGAGTTAAGAAAAACAGAGATGAGTGCCTTCCATCATTCTTTTACATAGTCCCCAGGCAAGTTAAAATGGATATATACAATAATTAGTGAATAAGGTCTACTCTGCTCTCTCTGGAGTCAGGGACCAGGGTTTCTCTGCAGGAACAAAGGATGCTGCTCCTTTAAGTACTGCTATGCTGGGGAGGGCGTTGGAAAAGGGTAAGTAAAATTATCATAAAACTTTCCTGCCATTTTGAAATGCCTTTTTCTTTATTCAGTGCTCACTTGGTTGCTGAAAACTTTTGACTGTTTTCCAGAGTTCTGACAAAGTTGGTGTCAACAGTTCCTTCTTGTTTTTCTACATTTCTTTTGAGGAATGAAATGCCTAATTCACCATTTTGCAGATGGCAGTCTAGTGCATGCTTCTTGAAAGCTGTATTCTGTGATTTTTAAATTTTCACCTCTAGCATTATGCTTAACACAAGAAAAGGGCTAAATAAACATTGAATAAACATGTCAATCTTGGTGAGCATCTCGGCTTACAGCAGTGGATGGGTGAGTGTCCAAGGCCTTTATTCTGCTGTCTGAGAACCCCAAAGCTCTGGAAGGACCTGACCTTTCTGAGTGGTGAAGAATGCTGGGGGCTGGGGTGCAGACCAAATGGTGCAAGTAGGGGTGGGAGTGCAGGCAGGATGGCTGAGCAGAAGAGCCACAAATGCTCAAAGCCAGAAAGTTGAGTATAGACATGGTATGTTGTATTCTATTTGTGATTATTCATTTTTAAATGGTTCATGATGATGTGTGAATGTAGGTAACCCAGTCAGCCATAATCTACATTCAGACTTCAGGATGGCTTAAGCAGCACTGTAAGTGATAGAAGTAGCTTTTGTGGAACAATCCATTTTTTATTCTTTGCATGAATAAGGTATACAATTGCCAAGCCCAACAGTCTACCCACGGGGTCAACAAACCTTGTCCCATGGCCTACTTGTCCCTGTAGCCTACTAGAAGTTTTTAATAAATAAGTTTAATTGGAACATAGCCACTCTCCTCCATTTGTGTAGTTGTCTTGTCTTTGGTGACTTTTGCACTACAACAGCAGAGCTGAATAATTGTGACAGAAACTGCATGGTTTGCAAAGCCTAAAATATTTACTCTCCGGTCCTTTACAGAAAAAAATTTGTGACTCCTCCTCTATAGCATGATACTTCTAGGACAGTTGGCGGGACATAAATAGCATCCTTGCCTCACCCTTTTCTTCTCTTGAGTTTTAGAAACTATTTCTCCATTGCTATCTTGCTTTTTATGTTGCTATTGGGCTAGCAAATGCCAACCTGATTTTTTTCTTTTTTTTTTTTTTTTAACTTTTTAAGTGGCTTGATCTTTGATGGAGTCTGAGAGAAAATTTTTCCCATTTCTTAAAATCTAATGGTTTTACTAGGAGTATATTTTGGGTTTGACCATTCTGGTTCAGTTTTCTCAGTCATATTTTCAATCTTTCCTATATATTTTCTATATAGACTCAGGTCTTCTTTTTTTCACACATTTTTTTGGGATTACTAATTTAAATACGATGCTCCATTGCTTTGTTTTCCTTGTAGGGGACTTCAAAGTTTTATCTGTTGAAAATGTTGGATTTTCTTTGCTAAAGTTAAACAGCTAAAGACTTTTTTTCTTTTTGCTCCTTTTTATCATCTATTTATTTTAATTCTCTTGATTTTTCTCATTCTTCTACTTAAATTTCTATAATTTCAGTCAAAGCAGTTATCCCTAGGTACTTTACAAAGTCCACATTTCTGAGATGATCTTGTTTTTCCTTCAATTTATTTCCTGAGTTTGGTGAACTCTTATACACATTGCTCCACTTTTTTGTCTGTTTCACTTTTGAATTTTAAATTTCCAATTTAAAGTGTTCTTTGTTTTATACTTGCAAATGCTTAATGTTCAAGAAAATTTACTTCATGTGGTGGATCAAGAACCAGGGGAGGAAAATTAGAGTTACTCAGGGCAGGAGTGGTTGAAGTTGCCTTGGCCTAGGATGGCTAATAAAGATTTTGCCAAGACTCAACATTGAATCCAATGCAGAGGGCTTTTAGCTCTCAATAGACTTGCCCTAAAGGCTTGCGCACAGACAGTTTAAGAGTCAGAGCTTGGGTTGTGCAGGGAATTTTTTTTTTTTTTTGATAGAGCTTTGGTGTCTTTATTGGGGAAATAATTGAATTGACTCAGAGATATTGAAGGAAATTTAACAAAAAAGGCCTTTCCCAGAATCTGAGTTTTTGGTTACATCAGGGGCCAAGACATATCCCTCTATTTCACGAAGGATTTTTTTTTTTTTTTTTTTTTTTTTTTCCGAGATAGAGTCTCACTCTGTCACCCAGGCTGGAGTGCAGTGGTACAATCTCAGGTTACTGCAACTTCCACCTCCTGGACTCCAGTGATCCTCCCATCTTAGCCTTTTGAATAGCTGGGACCACAGGGGCATACCACCACACCCACCTAATTTTTGTATTTTTTGTAGAGACGGGGTTTCACAATGTTGCCCAGGCTGGTCTCGAACTCCTGGGCTCAAGTGATCCACCCACCTTGGCCTCCCAAAGTGCTAGGATTACAGGCGTGAGCCACCGTGCCCATCTAGGAAGGACCATTTTATATTCAGTCTTTCCTGGGCCCCTAGTGCAAACTCAAACACCAAACAGGCCCCTTGCAATATTCAACATAGACAACAGGTGTGACAAGGATTTCCATAGAAAATGGGGAAACTGAACCCATGTGCTGGTTTCTGGAAGTCTGAGGATACAGAGCTCACATTAAATAGGACCATCTCTATTCTTGGCCTGGTTTCTGGAAGTCTGAGGATACAGAGTTCACATTAAAAAGGACCATCTCTATTCTTGGCCGTTTGATAACACTTTCATGAATCTTAGTATTTTGGGGCAAAATACTAGGATCATTCTGGATGTGATAGGTAACCTGAATCATGATTTGACAGGATCCTGGGAGGATTCTATGATGGTTGATCATGGGCCATGGCTGATACCTAAGCAGCTCACTTTTCACTGTCAGGGAGAGTTGACAGGACTACAACTCTGTTACAAATTATGTTTAATTATTTTGAAAGTTTAAAAAAGTCAATAAACATTTATATTTTACTGTTTGTATGGGATTCTGCTGTGTGCCTAGGGAAATAGAATAAGAAGCACAAAGCAAGATTTTCTTTTCCTTTCAAGGATATTTACATCTAGAAGGGGAGGTAAGTCTTCACTCTAGTGTAAGGCAGAAGAGACAGAGAAATTGTGGCAGTGGGGAGTGTCACCAAGTAGGAATATTAATTCTTGTGGGGAGAATGAGGAAGTTTCATTAAGGAGGAAACATGTATAGTAGATATTTCAGGACATGTAGGGTTTGGTTAGGCAGAAAGAGAGGGAAGGGGAGGAAGGATCCCATGTGGAATAAACCATGTTACCAGGACAAGAGAGGATAGGATATATTAGAGAAATAGTGAACAGTCCTATGTGGTTGGAGGGCAGGAGACAGTGGTAGTTGCAGTGACACATGAGTTGGAAAGGTCACCAACTGCCAAATTATGGAGGGCCTTGAGTCCAGGGTAGGGAATGAAGGTTTATTTAATAAAGTACAGGAAGCTACTCAAGATCTTTGCATAAGAAAGTGAAGCAATCCCAGCTCAACAGGGTGTAGAGAATGATCAGGAGACTGACTATGCCCTAGGTGGTGTGTCCTGGGGTATAAAGTAGGGTGGTGGTAGAGGAGAGGCTTCTAGAGATGCTTTGCAGTTATAATGAAACTGCCTTGGAGTGTATGGCACAGTGATTGCTAGTGTAGGAGTAAGGAAGAAGTTAAAGACCAGTATTAAGATTTTATGCTTGGGAAAATAAGATAATCATGATGCCAATTCACATCAATAGGTTAAGAAGGAGGAATAGGTTTTTGAGTGAGATAATTGTGTGTTTAGTTTTGGACATGTTAAGATGGAGGGGTTGCTAGGATACATTGGGAGGAATGTCTGGAAGATAGTGAAAAACTCAGATTTGAAGTTTGGCAGAGAAGATTTGAAAGTGATTTTCAAAGAGGTAAAAATTAAAGACACAAAACTGCATGAAAATGAGGGTGAATGTGGCCTTGGATGGAAAGGGATGGACACCCCCATGTGATGGGAGTAGACAAAGGAGAGACTGGGAGAGGGGGAAACAGGGAGAGTGGGAGAGATATTGTAGAATGAGAACCAGAGAAATACAGCCACAACCCTGGCTGACACGCTCTTGCTCAAGCTTGGCAGCCCTGCCGTGATGATGATGCTGGTGATGATGATGTAAATGCTATCACTGATTGAGCAACTACTTATGTCTAGAGATTGTGCTAAGCTTCTATATGTATGACTTTGTTTTACTTTGACAACCTTGTATGGCAGAGTTGATTATTAGCCTCATATTACAGGTGAGAAAACTGAGACTCAGAGATGTCAAGTGACTTGACCAAGGAGATAAAACTATAAATGGTAGAGCTGGGCTTTGAATCCAGTTCTATCTGCTTGCAAATTTCATTTTATTAACCATTGCACTGTTCTGTCATACCACTGCACCTGAATCTGGAGAGATTTCTATTTTTAAGAATTTGAAAACAAAGATTATCAACTAAGGAAAAGAGACTAACTTCTAGAAACACATAGATGATAAAGTGGGCATCAGTGTGTGCTGAATTCATCCAGGTGTGAGATCAAATGATATATTTTTGGTGTGAAAATTCATTCTAAATGAAAAGACTATGCACTGTTCTCTTTCTCTTTCTTTCTCAGAGTTTCACTCTGTTGCCAGGCTAGAGTGCAGTGGCACAATCTTAGCTCACTGCAGCCTCAATCTCCTGGACCTTCCTTGGCCTCCCAAAGTGTTGGGATTACAGGCATGAGCCATGTGCCTGGCCAAACCTCCATTTCTGATTGTTCAGGGAGTGAGGGTGGCTGCGTACATTATTTGTCGACCTAGGATTTAGAAATATGGACAAGTGTGCATGACCCACAGTGAACGCTTCAGAGGATGAGAGGTGAGTCATTGAGTCCATGGGGAGCTGACGGGACTTTGTCTGGCTGTGTGAAAGCACTTTCTCTCAGCTAAAAAGGAAATTAAATGCTATCAGAAAATTGAGATAAAATTTAGATAAAAGTAACCCATAGAACCTGTGATGTAATAATGGCCTTGGGACAGTCAAATCTGGGGGGGCAGTTAAATGTCCAAATGTACTTTGGACTTTAAGGTGGTGCTAGTGGTAAGATTTGAATTTTTTAAATTAAGCTTTGGAGAAAAACACCATGGTCAACCTAAGAGGTAACTCTTGGCGGGGCGCCGTGGCTCACGCCTGTAATCCCAGCACTTTGGGAGGCCGAGGCGGGCGGATCATGAGGTCAGGAGATCAAGACCATCCTGGCTAACACGGTGAAACCCTGTCTCTACTAAAAATACAAAAAATTAGCCGGGTGTTGTGGCGGGCACCTGTAGTCCCACCTACTCTGGAGGCTGAGGGAGGAGAATGGCGTGAACCCAGGAGGCAGAGCTTGCAGTGAGCCGAGATTGTGCCACTGCACTCCAGCCTGGGCGACAGAGCGAGTCTCCGTCTCAGAAAAAAAAAAAAAAAAAAAAAAGAGGAAGAGGTAACTCTTGCAATAGGGGAATGAAGAAAGTCGCCAGATTGCACCTTGATGATTATATGTCTGTTTCTAAATGATATCATTTAAAAGAGGTAGTGATTATTGTATGGTGATTAGTTTACAGGGATCATTTATTTAAACAAATAGCAATAGTCTAATTGGTGGGAAAGAGATACTAATCAAAAACAACACAGTAAATGTGGCAAACGCACACACATACGCACACATGGTATCTTTGAGGAAATTCAACATACGGGACAGGACCATACAGCAAGCTACCGACACTGCACACATAATTGCAAAATCCTAAAAAGGTGCTAGACTCTCAGCCTCCCCACAAGGAAGACATGCCGGAAATTCAATTTTTCACCATGTGAATGAAAGCAGATAACAGAGGGAAAGCAGGAGCACTGGGGGAATAGCTATATCTAGTTGGTGTGACAGGGTTTACAGTTCCCATCAATGAAGATGCCAAAAGAGAGTGGTCTGAGGACAAAATAAAATTAGTTTAAAAAGTTATACTCTAATCCTTGATAAACAGGTATAAATTAAAAAAAGAGCACCACTGTGATGCACGGATAGGTTTTCTTTTATTTATTTATTTATTGAGACGGGGTTTCACCATGCTGCCCAGGCTGGTCTTGAACTCGAGCTCAAGTGATCCACCCACCTCTGCCTCCCAAATTGTTGGGATTACAGGCATGAGCCACTGCATCCAGCTGGGTTTCTTTTTTTATTTTACTTTGTTTTATTTTTTTTGAGACAGGGTCTCACTCTGTCACCCAGACTGGAGTGCAGTGGCATGATCTTGGCTCACTGCAACCTCTGCCTCCCGAGTTCAAACGATTCTCCTGTCTCAGCCTCCCGAGTAGCTGGGATTACAGGCACCCACCACCATACCTGGCTAATTTTTGTATTTTTAGTAAAGACGGAGTTTCACCATGTTGGCCGGGCTGGTCTCGAACTCCTAGCCTCAAATGATCCACCTGCCTCGGCCTCCCAAAGTTCTGGGATTATAGGTGTGAGCCACTGCGCCCGACCGGGTTTCTTTTTTTAACCCCCATATGGTCCCACTCTTGCTGTGTGGAGACTGGCCTGGAAGTTTAAACAAACCCTCAGGGTTCAAACACTTCCCAGTCTGAGCAGCAGTGATGTGAGCCACCTCCTCGTCTTGCTTCTCTGGCTCGCCACTGCAAAGCTGCACGTTGAAGATGGGAGAGGTGCAGGGAGGAGGAGTGTGGGTCCCTGAGTCATGTCTCAGCCAGTGTTCTCTGGTGCGGCCTTCCATCCCCATTCCCACTTCCGTGGGCGGGTAGGAAGAGGGTCTTAGAAACAGCGGTTCCAGTGGCTGTCTCTCCCTAGCCTCTGAGATCCCCCTATGACATGCATACCACAAATTCTGAACAAATTAAAAGGCTTAGGTGGCCAAATGCTCTTCTATTCCCAATAAGAAATAAACTCCGGGGATTTCTGGAATTTCCTTCTGGAGGTTTGTAATTTCCTCTAATGTTTTTCTTCTGGCAAGAGCCTCTCCTTAGTGTCTTTTCTGTGGGGATAGAAGAGCAGGTGTAGAGCTAAGCAGGTGTGTACACTTAGCTTCCCACGGGCATTCCCTGCCCTTACCTCTCTCCCAGAGAGCGTGCCTGAGAGCCCCCTCAAGGCCTTCTCAGAGGGATCGCCCCCCTGTCATATCCTCACAGGCTACTGCTACCCCTCCTGCAGTTACAATGACAACTACTAGATTGTGTGTTTATAGGTATTTCTCAATATTCTACAGGAAGCATGTACCTTTTTCAGTAAGAGACAGAAAAAAAGGCTTGAGCTAAAACTTTTAACACATTAAGTTGTCTTTACATTAAATCTCATTTCCTATAATTCTAGTAACTCCAAAGTTTTTGATAATTTGGAGGAAATTTACCAGCTGGTTTACCACTATTTTAACTTAAGAAAAAGATGTTCTCAAGAATTTGGCAATGCTGAGTGCACAAAAATATATGGAAGAGACAATATTATTTTTTAAAAAATTATTTTAAAATATTTTAAGAGCACTGAGGAGCTTTTAAGCTCTCCTTATGTATATATCATTGATGCATTTCTTATAAGCTATTCTTACCCATTCTTTAAAGCAGTTTGACCTAGGAGTCCTGCTAGGCCATAATAAGCCCAGTTTCAAGAAGTGTACCAGAAAGTTAAAACACACAAACAAACCTCAAATAAACAAATGCTCAGCTTTTCTTTGAACATCCCAGTTCTCTCACATATATTGTTCAGAGTTCTTGGACTCAATCGACAGAAATGGTGTCCTGCTGTCTTCGACAAAAGAGAATTGATTGGAAGGCCTGTTGGGACTTTGTGAGTCCAAAGGATCTGTTTGCAAAAGGGCCGGAACCATGGACCTTTATGGTGGGAAGAGGCCAGAGGCCCCGCAGGGCCCTCAGGAGCTGGCCAGTCAGCACCACCTTCTCGGCTGTTCTTTGGGGTCTGGCATCTTGCTTCAGAGCCAAGTCCAGTTCACACCCTCCTCGCCTCTCCTGTGCTGTGGGAGGATCCGAAATGGAGATTCTGTTCCCTTCAGCTTCCACAGCAAGAGCAAGGTGCTATTTCAAAGAGGGATCAGGCGCTGGGCAGTCAAGAACACAAACAACCCAACAAATGTCCTCTGTGCTTATGAGATTTCCATAAAGAAATTTTAAATCATTTTGTGGAGGTTGGGCTCGATGGCTCACACCTGTGATCCCAGAGCTTTGGGAGGCCAAGGAGGAAGATCACTTGAGTGCAGGAGTTTGAGACCAGCCTGGGCGACATAGCAAGACCTTGTCTCTAAAAAAATAAAAAAATTAGCCAGGTGTGGTGGCGCATGCCTATGGTTCCAGCTACTTGGGAGGCTGAGGGAGGCAGATTGCCTGAGCCCAGGAGGTTGAGGCTGCAGCAAGCCGAGATAGTGCCACTGCACTCCAGCCTGGGCGACAGTGAGACCCTATCTCTTAAAAAAAAAAAAATCAGCTTGTGGGGCAACCATTTATTAATTAAACTGCTTTATTGAGATATAATTCACACATCATAAAATTCACTCATCTAATTATGCAGTGTATTGAGTTTTAGTATATTCACAGAATGGTGCAACCACCACCACATTCTAATTTTAGGACAAACCATTTGTTTTCAAAATTGAAGATAAAGAATTCCATGTTATGCAACCTTGGCTAGATTTAGAAACACATCTGTTCTATGGGGTAGTAAGTCTCTGGCCATGAATTCCTCCTGCCTAACTCTATCCTTGAAGGCTCAAGAGGAGCAGGAGCTCAGGGTCTGTACGGCAGGTGTGGGTTCTTAGGGACGGCTCTGACTTGGTGTGGCAAGGCGGCCAGCAGGTCACTTCATGCCCTCTAGCTCCAAACGATCACATTCTGAAAGAAAGGAGAGAGCAGAGATTTCCCAGAGCTTTTTGCCTCTTTCATCAGCAGCAGACGGAAGTCCTGGTCTCCTCTCTTGTACCCTCCGTCTTGGCTTCACTTTTCCTCTTTAAAGGAGCCCAGAGAAACATTCTTTAATTGCTACCCAGACCCGCCTCTAGAGGGCAGACAATTCCCCAGCTGAGCGGGGACACAGACTGCATCTCAGAGCCGCCCCGCTGTTCCATCCGCAGGAACTCTTTTCTAGGATTTTCTGCTTTTGGGTCCCTCCTAGGTTTGCCGCAGCGCATCCCCGTGCTGGCCACCTTCTGGCGCGGTGGGGAGTGGAGGTGTTGTGGTTGTGGCTGTTTTCTTTCTGGAAAGAAATCTCTCAACCTACCCCTCCCGCAACCCCAACTCAGGTTTAGAATGTATCGAAAGGACCGCAAGAGAGTTCTAACCATTTTATTTCATACACGTTACCCTTCATAGTCCCTTTAAAAATTTCGATAAAATGCGCGTGCCATAAAATTTACCATTTAAACTATTTTTAAGCGTACAGTTCTGTGGCATTAAGTACGTTCACATTGTTCAACAATCGCTACCAGGTTTTTTTCATCTTTGCAAACTGAAACTATATGCCCACTAAACAATAACTCTCCATTTCCCCTCTCCCCAGCCACTGGCAACCAGCATTCTACTTCTGTCTCTATGAGTTTGACTACTCCAGGAACCTCATATAAGTGGAATCAGACAGCATTTGTCCTTTTGTGACTGGCTTATGTCACCCAGCAGTGTCTTCAAGATTCAACATATTGTAGCATGTGTCAGAATTCTTTCCCCCTTCCCCCTCCATCCTCCATCCTCCATCCTCCATCCTCCTCCTGCTCCTTCCTCTTCCTCTTCTTCTTCTTCTTCTTTCTTCTTCCTCTTCCTCTTCCTCTTCCTCTTCTTCTTCTTCTTCTTCTTCTTCTTCTTCTTCTTCTTCTTCTTCTTCTTCTTCTTCCTCTTCTTCTTCTTTCTTCTTCCTCTTTTCCTCTTTTTTTTGAGACAGGGTCTTGCCTTGTTGCCCAGGCTGGAGTGCACTCGTGTGATCATAGCTCATTGCAGACTAGAACGCTTGGGCTCAAAGGATCCTCTTGCCTCCCGAATAACCAGGGGTACAGGCATGCACCACCATGCGTAGCTAATTTTTGAATTTTTATTTTTGTAAAGAGAGGGACTCACTATGTTGCTCATGCTTGTCTGGAACTCTTGGCTTCAAGGGACCCTCCTGCCTCCACCTCCCAAAGTGCTGGGATTATGGGTGTGAGCCACTACACCTGGCTCAGATTTTCTTTCTTTTTAAAGTGGAATAATATTCCACTGTATGGCCATGCCACATTTTTTTCATCCATTCTTCTGTCAATGGGCACTTGGGCCGCTTCCACTTTTGGTTGTGAATAGTGTTGCCACGAATGTGGGTGTGCACATATCCCTTTGAGTCCATGTTCTCAACTCTTTTGGGTTTTCATGGTCATTTTTGCCCAATGGGAGAATAAGATGAATCTACCCTAAGGCAGGGCTTCCCCACTTTTTCGTGTCCTGGCTTACAAAGGAAATATCTGTTTGTCTCCCTGGGATTTGGAGCCTCAACAGGGTAGTGGAGGTAACTAGCCCAGCATCCTGCTGCCCCAGCTGCCCCCTCCCAGACATGCCTGGACACATGGGGTAGGGGAGCTCTCTGCTCTGGATAACGAGATTCTCCAGGTTTAGAGCCCATGTGTCAAGTGGTACGTGTGGTGCATGGAGTGTAGACGCTCTAGGTGTGGGTGATGGGATGAGGTGTACTAAAAAGGCTCTTGTTTCCCCTTGGCTCACACCCCTTCCTAGAGTACTTGGCCCTCTGTAGCCCTAGAATGAGACCCACTGGCTCTCATAGCCCCTGGCATAGCAGCTGCTTGGAACAGCTGCATAATGTTACTGAAGTGGAGCAATCAAATTATTGAAAATGCCAGCATTAAGTTAGGATGCCCAAGGCAGGCAGGCGGCTGTGGGGGCTGAGCTGGAAGACTGGGTAGATTTATGGACTGGGGCTGCCGCTCTAGGTGGCACTTAGAGACCAGTGTAAACTGAGCTGCGGATCCCGTTCAGAAGAAAAAGTGAGAAGGAAGCCACAGGCAGGGCTGAGCGGAGGGCAGGTGCCTTGAGGGAGAGGGAGAGGAACAGGGGAAAAGTGGAGGAGGGAGAGGCTGCCCCAGGACTTAGAGCTTCTGTGAGGCTTTGGGGATGCTTCTGCATTTCACTTTTGCAAAAGTCAATTCTATCGATATTACAGTCTCCTTCCCTTGAGACAGATGGGCTGGCTTACCCACCCTGAAGGTTCTTGGGGGCAAGTGCAATTGAGGAAAAGCCAGAATGTGGTGAGGACTGCTTCAGGACTGGTGCAGTGGGAAAGTAACAGAATGGCCATGGAGACAGCACTGAACGCTTCTTTTTCAAATATTTTATTAATCTGTTTGGCCAAACAGGTAATGGAAACTGAGAATAATAATTTGCTAAAAAGTTCAGGTCATGAATGCCCCTTTCCCCCAGGAAACAGAAGACTCCATGGTTACAGAATGCACCATTGGGTTATGACAACGTTTCAAAATAATGTTTCCATTTCATATGTAACAATGTAAACTTCAAAAATAGTAAACTCTAACCCCTGACCCTCTTTACAGATCTATCACAGATAGAATTTTCTGGCAGACCTAAATTGTGTAAGTAAACAGCCTGGTGCTTAAAAGTTTCATAAAAAGGTTTACAGATTTCAGTAAATAATTTTTCAGTCTTGGTCAGGAAGTAAAAGCAGCCAGCAATTCCCCTCCTGCACAATGTACCTTATATGGGTATTGTACACCGCGGGCCACGCTCTGTATACACTGGCCATCAGCTCTGTCATTTTTTTGTACACAGACATACACATATATAGAGAGTTTTATTTGTTTCTAAAGATTTTTACATCTAAATTATAAGACGGCGCCAGTGACGTATCACGTCACCTCGCTTCACATAGGTAAAGACGAAAATTCTGTAGAAGGCACTGTGATTTCTCTTGCATGATCTTACACAGACACGTGAGAGCAGGCCAGCCGGGGCTTGGACTTATCTTGTCCTTCCTGGTACCTGGCACAGACCTGTCCTCTGACAGTTTTTGATGTTCATCATCCATTTCTGCCTTGCCTCTTCACATCCCAGACATCCTTCCCTCCCTCCTTCCATCCCTCCATCCATCCATCCAAATAAATTGACAGTTATCTTTTGGTTCATTGAAATTCCTTAAAATTAAGAGTACAGCTCTGGTATAAAACAAAATATGACCTACCATAGCTGAAAAATAATCACAGTGTGCAATGTCATGTTCAGTTGCTAAGATTCAAAACACTTGCTAAGATTCAAAACACTTGCCCTGATGGCTGGCTTGTCAAGAACGTCAGCCATCCAAAACGATCTACGCAGGGAACTTTTAAACCCACTTTACATTCGTTGGAAAAGCACTGAGAGGTTCTTCTTTTCTCTTTTGTATTGAATTGGTACCCTTAAGTGGAAGGTCTGATGTGGAAAAGTGCAAGCAAATTGGACATGCCAATAAATACCATAGAACTTACCGCAGATGACCAAAACTGTACAGGTATGTACACCTTACCCAACTGAGGTTCCTCCCGGCAGGAATAGACCTCCCAGTCATTACCACCGAGTTCTAGAGGAGTGGTGTTAGCGGGCGAAGGAAGGGCGGGCTCTTCTGTTCTTGCTCTGAGGTCCTGAGCTCAGGTCGGCAGCGCCCTCTGCAGGCTCCTCCTTCTTCCTCACTTTGAGTCGGGTGAGCAGCTTGATCAACCAGACATCCCACTCCTCTGGCAGGAGCAGGAGGAGAAAACCCAGGCCGATGATGATGATGGCGATGACCCGGACCCCATTGAAGACGATCTGACTGGTGTAGTGATCAATCACTGTGGGAGACAGAGCATGGAGGTTTCTCAGCTGCAGGGTTGGGGGCATGTCCCTGGAGAGTGGGCAGGGCCTGGGGGCACCCTCCTCTGTCTGGCAGTGTTGTGGTCTTCCCTGGACCACAGGATTCTCCTCAGTATGATTTTGTTCCAGGTGGGCTGGGGTTACCTCTAGTAAACAACCCTTAACTTTATCAAACCTCTCTGGTATGAAGCCTTGCACTTGTATGTCACCTCCCAAAACTGACTTGGTAGTTCAAACATTGATTTATGTGATTAAAACAAGTGAATGAAGGGCAGTTGAGGAGATGAGAGATAGATAGTACACACACACACACACACACACACACACACACACACGCATTTGACCCTTGAACAACATGGGTTTGAACTGTACGGATCCACTTACATGTGGATTTTCTTCCACCTCTGCCACACCAAGACAGCAAGACCAACCCCTCCTCTTCCTTCTCCTCCTCAGCCTACTCAATGTGAAGATGACAGTGAAGATGAAGACCTTTATGTGGCCCACTTCCACTTAACAAGTAGCAAATATATTTTCTCTTTCTTACGATTTTCTTAATAACATTTTCTTTTCTTTAACTTTATTGTAAGAGTACAATACATAACACAAATAACACATACAACATATGTGAATCAACTGTTTTTCATCAGTAAGGCTTCTGGTCAACAGTACCCCATTAGTAGTTAAGTTTTTGGGGAACTGAAAGTTGTATGTGGATTTTCAACTATTCAGGGGTTTGTGCCCCCATTCTCTACATTGTTCAAGGGTCAACTGTATTTTTTTTTTTTTTTTGAGACAGGGTCTCACTCTGTCACACAAGCTGGAGTGCAGTGGTGCCATCAGGGCTCACTGCAACCTCCACCTCCCGGGCTCAAGCGATTCTCCCATCCAGCCTCCTGAGTAGCTGGCACTATAGGTGCCACCACGCCTGGCTAATTTTTGTTATTATTATTATTATTATTATTTTTGTAGAGATGGGGTTTTGTCATGTTGCTCAGGCTGGTCTAGAACTCCTGGGCTCAAGCGATCCTCCCACCTTGGCCTCCCAAAGTGCTGGGATTACAGGCGTGAGCTCCCGTGCCTGGCCTGTATTTTAATTTTTAATATTGGTAAAACACCCTGTTAATTCACTAGATAAGGAGAGCCAACCAGCCAGTCCCTTGAGCAGATGTCGGGGAGAACCCAAAAGCCAGGCAATGGCTCTGCCTTGACAAGTGAGATACGCGGCAGGGTCCCCGGCTTCTCTCTTCCAATCAAGAGTGGCCTGGGATTCCTTTTCTGGACTCATCATTAAACCTTTTATGTTGCAGGTAAGTAATGAAAAATGATTTTAATGAATCTCTCAAACACCTGGCCATATTATACGCTGAAAGGAAGTTTCTATAGAAGACAACTGGAGCACGCCTTCTGGAGACAGGAACACGGTATGACCACAAACTAAAGATGCAAAGAATGTAGGGGGAGGACGGTGACAAGTGATTTTTCAGAAGCCTGCAGCATCTGGACCATTTTTCTTTTTTACCAGCTGTCCAGGAGCTCAGGTGCTTTCTGCATTTTGAAATGCTGTCTCATCGGTTATTTCATCTGGTTGTCACATCAACCGAAGTAGCAAGGGTAGGTATGACTTTTCATTTGCAGGGGAGGCAAGCTAAGGCTCAGAGAGCAGATATGTTGGGACCACAGATCTCCAGGTGGGTTGTGGTGGTGCTGGGCCTGAGCCCTGTCTCCTGACACCTCCCCCAGGCCTGGTACACTGCCGCCGCTGTGAGGCAGTCCTTCTGGGGGAGTCTGGGCCATGGTGGGGCAGAGAGGTCGAGCGCCTTTGGAATGGGAGCGGTGGGAAACCAAGTCATGAGGAAAGGCTTGGGAAATTGGGGTGCCTGCAGGCATAGTCACCACCACATTGAACAGGATAAGGGTTTGCCATTCCTTTGGGGTGGGGGGGGGGCAATCTTTTAATGGCCTGGAAGTGGCAGGATTTGGGAGATGGCTTTGGAGGAAGCTGTGCCAGGGACAAAGGAGTGAGTGTTCTGGGGAGGACAGATTCACAGCCCTTTTCTGGCTGAGAGAAGGATGCCTAGGGAGGTCAGGTATGAGGCCAGGAGGTTCTGGGAAGAAAATCCAAAATTCCTATCCGTGCGAGCCAGGAAAAGGAAGGCAGTGAGGGGCAGGTGAAGACAAGCTTCTGAAAGAGCTGTCAACTGTGTGCCTTGGCAACGAGTCCCCAGGGGAAAACAAAGGGCAGTCCCGAGTTCCTGGGCAAAGGGCGTTCTCTCCCTGTCTTCCCGGAGGTCAGGGAAAATGCCGTTCACGCTTCTTCAGCTTGTCAGCATGTTTCTACCTCATGCCTTGAGCAAATTTTCTCCCCCAGAAAGTTACCTGCAAAAGTGACATTTTTTTTCTGCTACATCATTTCCTACATTTGTTAATAATGCTGATGAGATTCATTCTGCTCCCCATACCAGTTAGAATCAAGATGCCTTTAGACTTTCTGTGTCTTGAAGTGGTATGTGAAAATCAGCCCATTATGGAGAAAATATTGCATATATAACTAATAGCAACATTTCACCTAAATGCTTTTTTTTTGGCAGACAGTTAAACACGCATTCTATAGCAGGCAGAGCAATAATATATGTGAGTATGTATGTGAGAGTATGTGTGTGTGTGTGTATGCATGAGTGTGTGTATGTGAGTGTATGTGTGAGTGTGTATGTATGCATGAGTGTGTGTATGTGTGTGTGAGTAGGTGACTGAGTGTGTGTGCTTATGTGCAGATATAGAAAGCCGCATAGGTTTACCTGCATTCACAGGTATGCTGAGGACGATTCCAAGAGACATCAGAGTGGGATATGTAACGGCAATTCCAAAATTTAATACAATATTGAATGCTGAAATAAAGAATGTAAACAACGAGTGTTATTCATGACTGCTGTGTACTTTACCTCCCTGCTGGCCTATCTGACCCAGGTTTTCCTGATGAGGCTGGAGTCATAGGAGTTACAATGACCCTCTGCTCTGATTCAGTGAACTCAGAGTTCCTCTGGGGGCTCCAGGACTTGGGACCAGGAGCAGACACTCTGAGTACTCAGCCCCTCTGTTCCCTGAGTTTTGAAGAAGGGAAATAAGTTTGGAAATGGTAACCACTGAGAAGGTGACTGGGACCATCTTACCAATTTTGCTTTTCTCTGCTGCTGGCAATGCTTCTGGGATAACTGCATGAACAGGAGCTCTGGGAATTGTTTTTTGTTTTTTTGTTTTGTTTTGTTTTGTTTTGTTTTGAGGCACAGTCTTGCACTATCACCCAGGCTGGAGTGTGGTGCACAGTGGTGCAATCATAGCTCACTGCAGCCTCAATCCCTCTGCTCAAGTGATCCTCCCACTTCAGCCTCCTGAGTAGCTGGGACTGCAGGTGCACACCACTGCACCTGGCTAATTTTTAAATGTTTATGGAGATGAGGTCTCATCATGTTTCCCAGGCTGGTCTCGAACTCCTGGGCTCAAGCGATCCTCCCATCTTGGCCTCCCAAAGTGCTGGGATTACAGGCATGAGCCACTGTACCTGGCTGGGATATGTGTTTTTAGATGGAAACTGGGTAAGTCATGTCCTTGGTTGCATTCCTGCCTAGCTCTAGACTTATATCAAGTAATGGAGACAATGATGATGATATTAATAATAATGATAATCTATAGTATTTATTGAATATTGACACTTATCAGGCAATGTTCTAAGACCTCTGCAGGTATTAATTTATCAGCTCCTTGCTGTACTGTGCTTAGTAGGTAACATGCAACACCCTGGGGTATTAGTTCATTATTCAGAGCAGCAGTGACCACTGCGACTACTGCACTGATTCTGGCTCTGGAATTCAAATCCAATGTCATCATTTCAAAGACTACTTTGTGAAACAGAAAGATCTTAAAAACCAGTGAGAACTAAAGAATAGCAAAGAGCACTGTTTTCTGCCTTCAGGGAACATGTTTCCTGAGGGTCCTCTGTGGGTGGTTGCTTTCTGGGAATTCTGGACAGGTGATTAGCACTTACTCAATAAAAGAACTGAAAATCCACAAAGGTTTCCCCATGGAATGTCATCAAAAGAGCTCCAGTATTCCACTTTGGTAAAGTAGAGGATAATAGGAATGCAGGTGATGAAGAGGATGTTAAACACACCCAAGATGGACAAAAATAAGGCGGCTTCTCCAAACTTAGCACTGCCCAGGAGGAGCTTGAACAAAACCTGTAGGAGAAAGCAGAGGAGGACGGGGTGAAGGCTCACCTCAGACCCCAATATGATGTAAGCAAAGCAGAGTTCACTCCACAACGCTGGGTTTGCACTGCAGGATGGAAACCAGATTCCAGGTGAATTCCATGGGGTTTGGCCTGTGTTCATTTGCTCACATATTCAAATCCCAGGAACATGGCAGTGGAGGGTTGCTCTTTAGCTATACAGAAAGCTTCTTTGGAAGTCATGGGTTTTCATACTAGGTTTGATTTGTCTGTGTTGTGTTCCTGACACTACATCACTAAAAAACATCTGCCATGATTACGCATCCTCTCAGAGACCCCTGGAAGGGATCCTGGACCCTGTATAAGCAGGTTGAACACCACTGCTCCCAAGAAACAGTGCTCTGGCTGCAAAGATACGTTCTGTAAATCAAGGGTGGAGGGATTTTGCTCATCTCTGCTCCATCCCACCATGTCCATTCCAGAAATGGCATGGGTTTTAGTGGAATGCACCAAACTTTTATTTTCTTGCACCTGTTCTTTTTTTGCACATCATTTCAGGGGCTTGGAAGGCTGGGAGGAGAGGGTGAATGTGATGGGAGTGGCCAGAAGCTGAACTGAGAGATGCAGATGGCCCCAGGGCAGCTCCTGCGCTGAGTGAGCTGTGGTCCAATTTGAGTCTCTGCATTGTTGTCTCTCTTACTTTTCCTGCTTTCTCCTTGGTTCAGCCATTTCCCAACTCATTCATGTATTTCCTGAAAAATGCAGGAAGTAGGAAGGCTTTCAGGAAGTAGTAAATGGCTTTCAGCCTCTCACCTAGGAGTCCCCATGGACAAGTTGCAGGTGGTAGAGGAGTTGGAGACTGGAATCTGAATCAGAATATTGTGTTCATTGTGGATTGTGTTTCTCCCTGTTTTTTGCTTCTCATTAGTCCACAGCTATTTGAGTCTAGCAGAGTATATGCAGCCTTCTAATATTTCCTGCATTTGGACAGTTGCTAGAGTCTCAGAGTGGTGCTAGATTATCACATCTCCTCAGTGAGAGGTGCTCAGAGAAAGAAAATGACATGTGTGTCTTCCTCTGTGGGAGGTGAGGGCAGGGAGGTGATGAAGGATAAGGCTGAGTTATTTCATTTTCCCAAACCCAGAACACATGGTACTCACAGAGCTGGGAAAAAAATGCCTTTTCTTTGACTCTCTACAGTACTTAATTATATCAGTCCTATTGTCTGGATCCACAAAGGGCTGATACGTCTCAAAACTAAAATCTCTTTTCTCATTGAATCTTCTAGGTCAGTTCTCCAACTTGGAGTCCTGAAAATATTTGCATTCTCTGCTATGGATCTTAGGAGAAGGAGAGAGGAGGAGAAGGGAAGTGAGGGGGGAGAGCAGCCAGGGGGCTTGATAAAGTAGGAGGTGAACAGAGAAAGGGACCTGAGTGTGGGAATAAAAATTTGTTTCCTCTAGACCTGAAGCTGGCAAGTGCTTTCCCATGGTTCCCAACATTTCATCAAAATACTTTATTATCCCCGTATTACAGCCGTTGTACTTTTATTTATTTAGCCTTCAAGGCAGTACTTGAAATGCATATGGATTCATAGCGAGCAGTGGTGGCTGCAAAAACTGTGTGGGCAAAGATTTACATGACAAAGCTGCACCAGATATTCAAGTCTTCCCACCCCATAGGGTGGCAAATGATCTGAGCAAACACTGAACTTGTTCGCTGCCATCAATGATGTCAGGAATCTGACTGTGCGGATGGGCACCACTCATTTTATCCCAGGTGCTGCAACGATGTGGCTACAGATAGGAAGGCCCAGAGAGCCAAAGCCAAGAGCAGTGGCACACCTCCCCCTTGCCCTTGACTGAAGTCTCTGTCTGCCTGTTGCACAGTTGACTCCAGCTATCTAGAGCTGCCTGTCCTGAAGCACAGGTATCATCAGAAGCTGTTGAAAAGTAAAGGACAAGCGATCTAAAGCCGGCTGTGCTGGCTGAGGAGAGCCCAGCCAGCTGAGAAAGTTCACTCCCCGGGCGTACCTTGTAGAGGGCAGACATCGATGCTGAGGCCACCACCAGTGCGATGCCGATGACGGAGTGGCTGTGGAAGCCATCAGCGTAGGTCATCATCACAATGCCAGCGATGGCGAGGATGGCGGCCACAATCTGGACAGACGGAAGAAAATGCTGGTCAGGGAAGTCGGGACGGAGTCAGAGGGAGTATGCAAGCGCCAAAGAGCTGGAAATGTGCGTGGGGTTCAGCCACGTGAGGGGAAAGTGGTGTCTCCTTTTTGTTCCTCCTTGGGAGAGCAACAGGCAAAGTCTGACTCCTGTCTAAATTTTTGTTGCTGCTTAGAGAGGGCACTTAGCAAAGCTTGGCTTGACCAAAGAACTGAAACTGCTGGCAGCAGGGAATGGGTGGCATGGTGGTGGCCAGTCACTGCGATTCTTAGGGACCTGAGAAGGAGGTGGTCATAGTTGCAGTGGCAGGTTATTTGGTCATGACAAGCCTGGTAGATAATCCCTGGGAAGCCCCTGGAGATGACCTGAGTTCTTCCCCAGCCTTCTGAAAGTACCTCCTGTGACCTTGCTTTTATGTATTTCATATCTCAACAGGGAAGCCACCAGGAGGACAGCAGATCTTTTCCCCATTTTCTACCCCAGCAGTGGGGCCTGACAGAATGTCACCTGCCAATCAAGGCTACAAATAATGTCCTAACCTTGGAGGTGCTATTCCTTTCCTTCGTGGCCACAGGCCCCTCCACCCTACCCACCAAGGCTCCCCTCAATCCTGTTATTGTCCTGATGCTGACTTCTCAGATGGGACGGAGGCTTCATGGAGATGTACATATTACTCTCATGGAAAGTGAAATTGCCAGAGTAAATAGGAGATAAACCATCTGGGACAATATTCCTCAAAGGAGAAAATGCACCAGCACAGAGAATCAATACAAGGACTGATCTGAGGTAGCCATGAAGCTGCAGAAATGTCACCAGGTGGGAGGTGGAGAGGGGGTTGCCGTCAGTAGAACAAATGTGTGCAGAAGTTTCCACTCCTGGATTTACTGAGAATTTTATCCCTCTTATGAATCATTCAAAGTCAACTTCAGCTGTCTAAAACAATATCAAATAGCTAAGGTTAACTGAGTGGTCGTAGGATATATGTTTCTATGTATTTTCTCCTTTTATCCTCACAGTAGATATTATCATTCACCTCATTTTGTAGACATGAAAACCTAGGCTCACAGAGGTTAAGTAACTTGCCCAAACCCACACAGCTGGTATGTGGAAGAGCACAGTCAGATTTCAGGTCTGCCTAATTGCAAAGTTGGTGCTTACATATATAAACAGGAATGCATGATTCACATAGGAAGTACTGCCAACCTACTGTTAGATTCAAATTGAGGTTGCCTTAGTAGTTAAAACAAAAGATGTTTAGGTTAGTGAAACATAATGTGGCTTAATCTCATGCAGTATGTCTGAGTTACGTACTTCTCTTAGGTTATACCTTATACGCTATGTTTCTATATAATACTGTATCCACCCCTAACGCAGAGGCATTGAGAGAGCAGGTGGTTGTCGTGTAAGAGAGCACTGCCTGGCCCAATCTGTCTGCGTGTTCTTTCTGGTATGGGAATTCACTTGTAGTCAGCCACACCGTTTTGCATCAGATGTATGCCTACATCTCATATTCAAATGCTACATGTACTGTGTAGAAGTGTTCATTAAGAGAAGAAACAGAGATAGCAAGACCATAAGGGAATTTTTCCCCACAAGAAAATAAAAAAGGGAAAAGTGAGAAAGCAGGTGGGGAAAGGGTTGGTTTCTGCTCCAGAGGACACATGTAATGCAAGGGGGCTGTCAGGAACACGCCAAACCGGGCAGGCATCAGAGGACTCCCAGTGAAAATACAGGAGAAAGGAACAGAGAGAAGAAAATGGCCCAATTCCAGATGCTTGGTGCATCTCCCCTTTGGAGATAGCTTTTTTGTTTGTTTGTTTGTTTTGAGATGGATTCTTGCTTTGTTGCCCAGGTTGGAGTGCAATGGCACTACCTCGGCTTACTGCAACCTCTGCCTCCAGGGCTCAAGTGATTTTCCTGCCTCAGCCTCCTGAGTAGTTTGTGACTACAGGTGCCCGCCACCACACCTGGCTAAATTTTATATTTTTAGTAGAGACGGGGTTTCACCATGTTGGCCAGGCTGGTCTCAAACTCCTGACCTCAGGTGATCCACACACCTCGGCTTTCCAAAGTGTTGGGATTATAGGCATGAGCCACTGTGCCCGGCCTGGAGCTACCTTTTATTGAGCTACCTGGAGCTACCTTTCCAGGCTTACGGCTGAAGTTGGAGGCAATGAAGGACAGTGAGGGGTGATTTTTTCTGAAGACTTGCAGGGCACATTTCCAACCTCTTCCTCTGTTCTCTATTGATTAAATAATAAACAGCTAAAAGCTTCTGCCTGGGCTGCACTGTGCAGCTAAGCTGGGGGAAGGGACAAGGGGGTAGGAAATGAGAGCACGGTTGGACATTGACCTTTTGGTCTGTTGAGGAGATAAACATCAGAGGAGCCTGTGCCACCCCATCAGTTCATTCTGACAGGCAGGCGGGGGACTCTGATCTCCTCCTCCACACCTCCCAGCCTTCTCCTGGGGGTCCCGCCCACAAGGCACAGTGTTGACATCCCTGGCTGTGGGCCTTCCACTCTCTGGACATCAGCAGCCCTGCTATGACCGGACCCATGTGCTGGGATGTGAACTAGGGTTCCTACCTTACTCTCAATACCCTGTGGAGCACAGCAGGGTTGGAACGTGCCCTGTGCCTTTGGGAGCAGAGCTCAAGATTCCTTCCTGATGCCTGGAATTCCTGTTAAGTTTCCAGTTCTATCTTTTAAAAAGTATGCACATATGTTACATTTGACACCCTGACACATCTGAGTTTCTGGGTTTTCATGTGACAATATTTTCCTGCCCATTTCCTGCACTAAAACAAACTCTCTAGGAAGGCCAGTCAAGTCCGCCCTGTGGTTCCATGTGCTCCATGTACATCTTCTCCCTACTGGGGCCCCTGGACAGGTGCTAAGGGTGGGTGTGGAATCATGACAACGGAGCTCCCCTGACCTCCCCATGCCTCTCCTTCCTTACACTGTCCTGTCCCCCCCAGCCCTCAATGCTCCCCACGGAACAATCCTGAAACAAAGACTGATGGGTCACAGTGGCCCAAGACCGAGATGGGTAAGAGCCACCACCTCTTCTTTGTCTAGGGAACAGTTGGCTGGAGGTAAGGAAGGAACACAGGCCGGGGATTACTGCTTAGCATCTTCCTGTCCTCATCCAGCATGGTGACCCACTGTCATAACCTGCCCGGCTGCCAGAGCTCTAGATCTGAGTCCCACGCACCCAGGCCTGAGTCACAGACACACCACTCATCTCCATGACAGTTCTGCTCCCTGCTCCCTGTGGGGCTGAATGGGAAGGCAACAGAAACCTTTGAGCTTTAAAGAGGAGAGAGGAGGGTTAGTGGTGCCCTAGGTGAGGTCTAATCACTGTTGAGACTAGGGCTCCTCCTGCTTAGTCTTGCTAGAAGGTGGCAAGGCCTGGCGCGGTGGTTCACACCTGTAATCCCAGTGCTTTGGGAGGCTGAGGCGGGCAGATTTCTTGGGCCCACAAGTTCAAGACCAGCCTGGGCAACATGGTGAGACTCTGTCTCTACAAAATATGCAAAAAATTAGCTGGGTGTGGTGGCATGCCCCTGACTACCAGCTACTCAGGAGGTTGAGGTGAAAGGATCACTTGAGCCCAGAAGGTTGAGGCTGCAGTGAGCTATGATAGCACCACTGTAATCCAGCCTGGGTGACATAGTGAGATCCTGTCTCTGCAAAACAAAAACAAACAAACAAACAAACAAACAAAAAAACCTAAAAAAAACAAACAACAAAACGTGGCGGGGTGCCTGTTCTCTGCCAAACAGAACCCCATTTGGAAGCTTTTTAGATTTGCACAGCTACAGGCAATTTTACAAAAGGGAAAAATGGACTGATTTTTAATCATTCTTCCCCCAACTCTTTCCCTCCCAGCTGCTGGCCTGCTCTCATTGACTCAAGGATTACTGGAGTTTGGAGGGAACTGGGGGATCCTCTAGTCCACACCTTCTATGTCCGAGAGTAGAAAGTGGCCTGGGCTGTGAGCTCCACCATTGCCTGTCCACTGTGTCTTCCCCCATGCTGGGCTCAGGTTGCAGAGGGCAGCCCCCCACACAGCAGGGAGTCAGGACCAGATACCAGATACTGTTTGGGAATGGATGGCCCCTTTTGAAACACTGTGAACATTTTGATTATTGGAAACATCAGCTGGAATCTGATTGAGATGCGAACTGATCTTGGAAAAAGGTCCATGATCCCCAGGAATGTGCCGCTGGGGTTTGAGGACCCCATGGATGACCTCTTAGCTCACCTTCTGGCTCCTTCCCCCGTCCCTCCTGGTTTAAAGACCCTCACTGTGATTGGTGGTCCCGAACAGCCCTGAACAATCGGAGAATCTCACCTCCCATTTCCCTTGACATGGAGGCTGGGGGTGGTCTCACTCAGCCTGGCTGCAGCTAGCAGGCAGTGTGCGCCCAGGGTTCTACCTGCTCTCATCCTACTCTTGCTTTTGCCACATTAAACTGCCTCTCTAAATGTTCATCCACCAACAAGAGAATTGGGCTGATCCATCAACCCCCTCCAATTGAGAAGGAATAATAAGAATAATGCCATGGAGAAAAGATACCATTTGTTGAGTTTTATGTGTGAGGCATGCATCATCTTATTCTCACAACTGTTTTCTAAGATGAGTAGTAATATTCTCTCCATTTAACAGAGGCTCAGAGACATTTACTAGTCTGCTCAAGGTCCAAACAGCTTATAACAATGGAGCCAAGATCTGTGACCTCGTCACTTGACTCTAGCCTAGGACATCTCCATCGCTGAGCTAGAACCCTGACCTGGAGAACCAGGGAACGTACAGAAAGCACACCTAAGCAGAGAGTCAGATGGCGACACAAGGAGCCACCTTGGCTCCTTCCAAACAGACACTCCAATGGCTTCTCACCCTCTCATACCATACGTGGCCAGGAATCTCCCCAGCATGATAAGACACGTTTGCTTCCTTTTGGATCTGCGCACATGACTTCGACCTATTGATGTTTTCCAGGAACCATGGCCCTTGTGGTTTGAATAATTGCCTTAATAACAAAAGTCTCCTTAGCAGCCAATTCCACAAACATAAGGCTGTGCCTTCAACATGGATTTTTATGTCTGCTTGACTCTCAAGCTCATATGCTCAGCCCTCCAGGATGGAGAACTATGTTAATTCTTTTCAGTCTTTGGAAATTACCTAATGGACAGTGCCAGCCAACCCAGGTCTGAGTGAAGTCTGAGCGGTCCCATGCACCAGTTAGATATTATCTTGGAACTAAATCTCCATCTGTTTATCAAGGAGAATCTCTCAGTCCCTTTGGCACATGGCAGTGTCTCATGATGGATTTTGCTAGCTCTCTGAACTCCTGAAGAAGAGAAGAGGGAGTTCCAACACAACCTGTGGGAGGAAGCTCTTAGATGACTGGTCATGCACTTCGGAGAGGAATAATGATTATTAGAGAGACTCATAACTGCACAGTGCTTTGCAAATTACAAAATGCCATCAATGCCATCACCGACACTGGCTCCTGGGATCTTCATTCAGTGTCAGTCTAGTACCAAAGGCCTTCAACACAAAACTTTGCTCAGTACACAGTGATCAGCAACAGACCAAACCAATCAAGTGGCCACCATGGCCGGAATGTGCCATATTCTGAGGATGACTCTTGGGTGGGGGGTTGGAGGGGTCTTATCCATGCATAGCAGTAAAGATCTAGAAGCATCATGTTGCTTTCTATGAATTTAGGAGTATTTTTCAAGTTTTTCACACCTCCTTCTCTTAACCTCAAAAAAAATGGGTTTCTTCTGCTAGATGCAGAATTAACCTTGAAGCTTCTCTTCCCAGGAACAGGGTCTCATTTGGAATTTTCTAGGGACATCTGAGTCATGCCAAAAATTTCCATAAATTCTCCTGGCTCTTTACATCAAAATAAAGTCAGGAAGGACATGGGTGGGTGGCAGGGGGGCCCAGGACATTCAGATCTTCAGCATCGAGTCAGGCAGCCTGCTGGGTGGCTCACTGTGAGAAGTATCTGCATTTCTTGCAGAGATGCATCAGATCATTTATTTGCTGAAAGCTTTTCTGGTGGCACAGAGAGTGAGTTTTTATTCCAAAATTAACATTAAGCCTCAAAACAAATTTTCCCCCTACTGCGAGCTAAAAATATAACTCAGAAGTTGACTCACGTCCCCACTGCTGTTTGGGTAACTTAGGTGGGTGTGAATGCACCATTAGGGTGATGTCATTGTTCCCAGGACAATGAGGGAAGGACGGAAGTAGAGGGCCCTGCACTGGTGGCCAGCAGGGTTTACTTTCATGGGACTGCCCCTCAAACCGGCTCTTAGCTTTGTGGCTGAAGGGGAAAGCTGTACACTAACTACAGGAGAACTAGCGGCCTGGCTAAATGCTCTCGGCGCTGGTTTGTAGCAAGGTGATGACGGGGCAGTGACAGCTCCTGGCCACAAGAGGGAGCCAGTCAGAAGTCTCTAGGGTTCTGCCCTGTGCTTTGAAACTTCACCTGTTTCTTTTATTCGGGGGAATCTCTCTGTATTTCAGCTGATATTTGATAGTGCACGTGTCCTATTTCATACAGTTGTTATGAAATCCGACGAGCTAACTTTGACTAGCTTCTAATGTAATTGACTGGGTCTCGGTTGTAAAATGAGAGGTAATTCAAGGGATATAATTTCACTCCCCCTTCGTCATTGGTTAGAAGGAAGTGAAGCTGGCCCTTCACAGTTGGGACTTAGCATGAGTGTGTCTGGCCAACTCTGGCTGTGTACACAAGGCCCAGGCAAAGGGCCAAGACTGCATGCACGCATGGATGCCGAAGGATCCTTTGGGTTTCACGCACATCCTCACCCGAGAGTGGCAGTGTTAGCAGAAAGCTCCAGGCTGCAGGGCACGGTCATGCCACGCCCTACAGCCGGGAAAGCCGCCCATGAGAGACGGGGTGAGCACGCAGAGAGCGGAGCACATCGCCATTCCCAGGCTGGGTCCCCGACTGGCACACACTTTAGGGAATGCTTGTTGAAATGCTTGAAATGAAAGGTGCTTTAATGAATGCTTGTCTAGTATGGTTTGCAAGCAAGAAGGTTGGCAAGGCACACCAAGAACCGGGCCCTCTGCTGGGCTCATTTTCTGCTGCAAATCAGAAGGAAAGTGGTCAGCAGCTTATGCTCATGGTCCAGCACATGGAGCTAAGCAAGCCGATGGGCAGGTTTTGGTTGACATGACTGAGTGAGGGAGGAAGACAGATAATAAGGAACTTACCCTCACTCCCATGAATCTGTCCCTGAGAACGATCCATGAGAGCAAGAACACAAAAGCTTTGTTGCAGCAGAACAACACGGAGACATCCGTAGTGTTTATTTTCTTTATTGCATGTAAGTACAGGTAGTTTGTGAGTGTCCAAAGAACACCAAAGGGTGCTGCCTTGGTAAAAAACACCTTCAAAGTCAAGCCATTGTCTCCAAAAAATCGACAGCATTCCCTAAAACAAGGAAAGAGAGGCATCGTTATTATTTTCCTGGGTTCAGACAGACCATTTATTTCCTATAGCAAGTTTTTTTTTTTTTAAGCAAATATAGGAAGGGGCAGGGTTTTAAAATTTATTATTTTTAATAAACATCTTTCTATTAAAGCCCTTCAACCTATTGCTTTAGTCCACTGAAACAAATGTTGCACAGTGATCTAATGTCACAGATTCTTCCTTCTGTTCATGTTAAGCTTGGAATTTATGGTTCTATACAGAAGGTAATGTTGGTGTGTTATCTGACCCGAAGGCCTAATTCTATGGTGATTGACTGAGGGATTCTGTCACTTGCTGAGTAAGAGAAGGGGGTCACTAAACCTTTTTTGGGGTGGGGGTTGTGGGAGAAGGACGGTAATGGAGGAGGATGGATACTCTGGGGGTGGGGGTTGTGGGAGAAGGACGGTAATGGAGGAGGATGGATACTCTGGGGGTGGGGGTTGTGGGAGAAGGACGGTAATGGAGGAGGATGGATACTCTGGGGAAGACAGGGTGTCTAATCTTTTGGCTTTTCTGGGTCACATTAGAAAAAGAATTGTCTTAGGCCACATACAAACTACACTAACACTAACGATAGCTGATGAGCTACAAAAAGAAATCGCAAAAAAAAAAATCTCATAATGTTTTAAGAAAGTTTACAAATTTGTGTTGGGCCTCATTCAAAGCCAGCCTGGACCACATGTGGCCTGTGGGACGGGGGTTGGACAAGCTTGCTCTAAGAGAACACATTGAAACATAGTTTTAAAAAATGTTGCCCTCAGTTGGAATTATCTTTGTGATCAGGCAGGGGCAGTCACTTCTTGGGTATATCTAATACATTTTGGCTATGATACAAATAGTGTTAACTCGTGACCTATTTTCTCCCTGAGGCCATTTTTAGGGTACCTATTCCACCATGTGGAAGCCCCACTTCTCTAAGACACTATCTAGCACAGGAAGAATAAGCAGATCCAAAAGTTCAGAGTCTAACGCGGGAATGAGATGAGGAAACATCTGTAGAAGAAAGTCTTTTGATGCCGTTCTAGAGTCTAGGGGGAAGGATCACAGATAGTTCAAAAAATCTTTAAGAAAATTAAAGCCAGTCTTCTACATGCAGAAGAAGGAAGTAGAGGAGGCCGTGGGGAGCTCGGGTGTGGAGAAAGGCCACTGAGAAGGCTTGGTTGACAGCTGCCTCTTTCCTTGACTGTTGGGGAGTGAAGATCATTGCTGGGTTGGGCCCGATGAGCTAGGCAAGGAGATGGACAAGTGAGGAGGCACTGCTTCATGGAAGTCCCTGTCCAGGCTCATGGACATGGTGCTGCACTGCCACAGCTGGGGATGGCCTGCCAGCCAGGAAGGGAGTCAGCCTGCTAGTGATCTAGAAATAGACTCAGTCCCAAATGAACTGCCACGAGAACAAAAGAAAAGACATCTCTAGAATAAACCAAATGCACTAGGTTGGGGGAATAGCTCTGGTCTGTGCCACTTAATATTAAAATGCAGAGAAAAAGGAGGAAAATTAAAAACAAGAGTCAAAGGGGATTGGGTAAGATTTTAAATTTAATTTTACTGTCTAGTCTTCCTATCAATCTAGAAGGAAATCTGTCTTTGTTCATGACTCAACTATGGGATGTCCATAGCAGGAACAGGAAAACTCCTTAGAGAAAGGCATGAGAGCCTGGGATATTGAGAGAGGAGAAACACACTTACCGTTTTGTGGAGTCTGGTGCAGTTTGGCCACCTCTCTCTGTACACAGAGTCCTATGTTGCTTCTGAACAAACCGGGGCCAGGTAAAACATTCACTTCACTAAATTTATCATGAAACCGATTCAACTGAATTGATTCCATTTTGGCTTTATATAGCTGCAACCCTCATCTAACTGAGAGGCTGATATTTCTGTTTGCCATGTAATTTTCATACAATATTCCAGCTACATTTTCTATGGGGTTTTCCCAAGCCCCTGTTTGCAGAACAGTCTGTTCCCCCAGGGGCAGTGACCGTGAATGATGGCTTCCTTTATGTTTGTGATTATGGTGGCTACAAAGTGATGCTGGTCCATTGAGTATGACCAAAATAAAATACAAATATTCTTTCTGGCCATTAATGTCAATCTATCTCCACTATACTTAGAGGTTTCCCTTTCTAAGAGAAGAACATCATGCAAGCAGAATTTCCAAGTTCCACCTGGCTCACTGTCATGAAAAACAATTCATCTTCTGGAAGGGGCCATCCAAGGCTAACTGGGCAACCTACTTCCTCTTTGAAAATCCATATTTGACTCCTCCAAAGCCTGATCATTGTAGATGGGATGGAGAAGGGAGGTAGGGCACAGATATGGCTTGGTATTGATGGCCCAAGTTGCTGGAAATGGGGAGAGAGTGGGGATCCCATCCTGGAGATGAAAAAGGTGAGACTCTGAGGCCTGGCAGAGTCCTGCTGGCCCTTTAAGGCCTCATGGCCAGGAGATCACAGCTTAGGTTGGTAGGTCTTGGTTCTAATGAGACCAAGACAATTGGCCCCCTGGACTGGTGAGCTTTGTGATATTTTGAGACCAAAGACTATGCACTAATCTTCAGTGCTAAGAGATTAGCGCACAGTCTTCGGTCTTAAAATAGCATAATATTGGCCGGCAGCGGTGGCTCACACCTGTAATCCTAGCACTTTGAGAGGCCGAGGCGGGTCAGCTGAGGTCAGGAGTTTGAGACAAGCCTGGCCAACATGGTGAAACCCTGTCTCTACTAAAAATTCAAAAATTAGTCAGGCATGGTGGTGAGCACCGGTAATCCCAGCTACTCGGGAGCCTGAGGCAGGAGAATCACTTGAACCCGGGAGGCGGAGGTTGCAGTGAGCTGAGATTGCACCATTGCACTCCAGCCTAAGTGACAAGAGTGAAACTCCATCTCAAAAAACAAACAAACAAAAAAACCCAGCACAATATCTCAGGATCTGGCTGGCCCATGTACGTCCTTGATTGCAAGGGAACCCAAGACAGATGATGAACATGAATCCATTTCTGCCAGAGACCTCCCTCTTCTTGGTATACAAATGGAGCACAGTCAACACTCTCTTGACTGACGCCCACATTACTGACGGGACAGTCTAACACCCTTCATTCCTTCTGCTCACTGATGCTGCTGGCAGGCTTAAGACTAGAGGGTGGCAGGTTACTTCCAGAACACTCAAGTCCTTCTGTTCCTATGGATTGAGTCACATACAAAGATTAGATGTATTTACTTCTGATCCTGCTTGTGCCAGTTAGCTGTTCTTGGTATTTCAATTACACGGTTTAATTAAGTATTTCATAAACCAATGAAATATGAGTGGGAAACGAAAACTTTTTTTCCATGAAATCTAAATTGAGAGCTTCAAGAAAGACTTAATAAAAATAAGCAATACTAGGCTGGGGGTGGTGGCTCACGCCTGTAATCCCAGCACTTTGGGAGGCCAAGGTGGGTGGATCACAGGGTCAGGAGATCGAGACCAGCCTGACCAACATGGTGAAACCCCATTTCTACTAAAAACACAAAAAAATTAGCCAGGCATGGTGGTGCGCGCCTGTAGTCCCAGCTACTTGGGAGACTGAGGGAGGGGAATCGCTTGAACCTGGAAGGCGGAGGTTGCAGTGAGCCAAGGTGGTGCCACTGCATTCTAGCCTGGTGACAGAGCAAGACTCTGTCTCAAAAAAAAAAAAAAAAAAGCAATACTGCTACTGAATATTTAATTATTCAATAGAATTATTCAAAGAAACATGGTAAAAGAAAAAATGGTAAAAATCTATAAGTTCTGCACTCATATTATTTGACAAATACTTACATACTTATGTTCTTAGTACTCTTTAAAGAATCCTAGCTGGGATAGCCTGTCTTGACTTCATATTCTAACTTTTCTATGAATTTCTAAAATTTGGTTATATCACACATTTAGGGATGAGGATGGCTTATCATTTAATTCATATCAACAAACACTGGTTTAGCACTTGCCATTCCCACAATTCTAGACAAGGCCTTGTGGCTGATACAGAAAAGTAAACTTTTCAAGCTAAGGAAGCTTTTCTTTTAAACTAAGATGAATTATTTCTTTTGTAATTTCCTCCACTTCAGTTTTTCTATTTAGTTTTTTTCTATTTCAGTTTTTCTGGTGCTTCTTTTAGTTTGATATTGGATCTTTTGGTTTGATCTTCTAATTTTCTTTTTTCCTTCTTGCTTTCTCTATCTTATTTTATGGGAGATTATCTTGACTTTATATTCCAACTCTTCTATTACATTTTAAAATATTGGTATCCTACATTTAATTTTCAAGAGCAGCCCCTGCTCATGAGAAGGTGTAATTGGGGAGATAACATTTATCCTTCCATAGGAGGCAATGCAAGCCTAACATATTCACATAGGAGATAGATGGTGTGGAATATAATGATGCTACAGTGGAGAGTTGGGCTGACTGGATAAGTCCTCATAAAAATGTGGATTTTGAGCTGAACCGAAGGACTAAAGGACAGGAAGGATTTATATAGGTATGTGCGTGGGGTGGCAGAGAGATAATATCCTTGCAGAGATAAGAGAAGATATTGTATCTATGAAACAAGAACAAATGGTTATTAAAAAGGATATAATCTTGGAAATTAAATATATAACTACATTTTAGAAATTAATAGACATTTTGGGATGCCAAGGCGGGCAGATCACTTGAGGTCAGGAGTTCAAGACCAGCCTGGCCAATATGGTGAAACCCTGCCTCTACTAAAAAAATATAAAAATTATCTGGTGTGGTGGTACACACCTGTAGTCCCAGCTACTTGGGAGGCTGAGGCATGAGAATCGCTTAAACCTTGGAGGTGGAGGTTGCAGTGAGCCAAGATCATGCCACTGCACTCCAGCCTGTGTAATAGAGCAAGACTCTGTCTCAAAAAAAAATAATTAATAGAAAAGTTGGAATATAAAGTCAAAATAATCTCCCATAAAATGAGAGAGAGAGGGAGAGAGGAAGAAGGAAGGAAGGAAGGAAGGAAGAAAGGAAGGAAGGAAAGGAAGGAAAGAAAGAAGGAAGGAAGGAAGGAAGGAAGGAAGGAAGGAAGGAAGGAAGGATAAAATTAGGAGATTAAACCAGAAAGTCTAATATCAAACTAAAAACCCCAGAAGGAGCAAACAGAAAAAATGAAGTGGAGGAAATTACAAAATAAATCATTCAAGACAGTTTCTCAGAACTGAAAGACATGAATCTTCATAATGTAAGGGGCCACCAAGTACCAAAAAAATGAATAAAGAAAGAACCACAACAAGGCACCTATTTGTAAAATAAAGGTATAAAGAGAAAACCTAAAATCTCCCAAGAGAAATGAAACAAACAAGGTCAAGAAATAGGAAATTGTAATTTCATCAGACACCACCACAACCAAAATGGAAGCTAGACAATCATGGCACAACGCATTAACATTTTTGAAGGAAAATTTTTTTTCCAGCCAGAATTCTATCACCAATCAATTATCAATCAAAGGTGGAGGTAGATTGAAGGCATTTTCAGCTATGCAGTCCTCAACAGCGGTGTCTCCCAAGCCACTGGAGGACAGGCTGCACCAAAGCAAGGGTGTAGACCAAGGAGGAAAAAGACGTGGCAGCTGGAAGCAGGCCAGCTCCACACGGGCAAGAGAGAAAGTGGGTCCCAGCATCAACAGGGTGCTCTGCTGCAGACCGGGAACCGCAGAAGGCTCCTGGAGGAGATTCTCTGAGGAAGTCTTGTGATTAAGCAAGAACAGGGAAAATAGTGATAGGCTTTTGAGGTGGCAGAACGTTTAGGGGAAAAAATAGCAATCATTACATGGAAATCAAGATGAATGAGACAAAAGAGGGAAATATTGTTGGCAGGAGAAATGACAGGTTTTTCACAAAAGGAGGCAGAGTCAGTGAACAATATATGTGTGCTTATGATAATGCAAACACTATTAACTAAAAATTGGGATATTATTGTGTTGGGGGTGGGGAAGAAAGGGTAGGGTGAGATAGAAATCAGAGGATGTCTATATTTAAGAAATACTGAGATAAGAATTTAATTTAGCTAAATTGGTATAAATACTAGAGAAAAGTATCCGCAAGAATTGAGGGTGGCTGAGAGTAGGCAGATGTGGAGCTGGAAGAAGTTGCTCCTTTTTACCATAATTCTTTTACTACTATTTTGCTTTTCCAGAGTATGTGCATGCATTGAATTGCTAAAATTAAGTTAATTAAAAACACATAAGAGAGAGGTAAAGTTTCTGTGGTTGAAGCTGAAATGTGGGCACTCAGACAGCTTTGAGGGGTACAGTTTGAAAACCACAGAGAGAGAGAGAAGCCCTGCAATTAACAGTGAAGGATGCCACAGCCCAGACAGACGAAAAGACCCACTCAAGTTCAAACAGATGTTAGTAGCGGAGCCAAACCTGCAGCCTGGGCTTATTCCTCAGTGAACACTCTTATGTTCCTCTTTTTCCCGTACCCATTTCATCACCATTTAAACATGTCTAAGCTTTTCCAACTTTAACATACCCCTGTACAAAAACAAGCCTCTCACCCGCCCCTTTCCTCTGTTCCCCTTTTTCATAGCCACACTTTTCAGAATAGCCATCTACGCTCAAGTTCTCCATGACCTTGCCTTCCTCACTGTCCAGCTACTCTAGTCGATGCCTGCTCCCCACACTCATTCAAACCCCTGGACCAACTGTGAATGACCTTCACATTGCCAATTCCAGAAGGCACTTTTGGGTGTTCATCTTACTCTGAGAAACCTCCTACATTGTTGACTGTTTCTCCCTGAAACACCCTCTTAGCTTCCAACTTAGCACAGTCCCCAAAGTTTCCTTTGACCTCTCCACATCCTCTAGACTTCCTCTGTAGGCCTTCTTTGGTATTCTTCTTTTTTCTTTTAATTTCTTCTTAAAAAAAACAACAACAACAACAACCCAGGATACATGTGCAGAATGTGCAGGTGTGTTACATAGGTACATGCATGCCATGGTGGTTTGCTGCACCTATTGACCCGTCCTCTCAGTTCCCTTCCCTCATCCCTCATCCTTCAACAGGCCCTGGTGTGTGTTGTTCCCCTCTCTGTGTCCACATGTTCTCAATGTTCAAATCCCACTTATGAGTGAGAATGTGGGGTGTTTGGTTTTCTGTTCCTGTGTTAGTTTGCTGAGGCTGATGGCTTCCAGCTTCATCCACGTTCCTGCAAAGGACATGTTCTTATTTCTTTTCATGGCTGCATAGTATTCCATGGTGTATATGTACTGCACTTTCTTTATCCAGTCTATCATTGATGGGCATTTGGGTTGGTTCCATGTCTTTGCTATTGTAAATAGTGCTGCAATAAACATATGTGTGCAAGTGTTTTTATAGTAGAATTATTTAGATTCCTTTGTGTATATACTCAGTAATGGGATTGCTGGGTCAAATAGTATTTCTGGTTCTAGATCCTTGAGGAATTACTGCACTGTATTCCACAATAGTTGAACTAATTTACATTCCTACCAAAAGTGTAAAAGTTCCTATTTCTCCACAGCCTCACCAGCATCTACTGTTTCCTGACTTTTTAATAATTGCCATTCTGACTGGCATGAGATGGTATCGCATTCTGATTTTGATTTGCATTTCTCTGATGATCAGTGATGTTGAGCATTTTTTTCATATGTTTGTTGGCCGTGTAAATGTCTTCTGTTGAGAAGTGTCTGTTCATATCCTTTGCCCACTTTTTGATGGGGTTGTCTTTTTCTTGTGCATATGTTTAAGTTCTTTGTAAATTCTGGATGTTAGACCTTTGTCAGATGGGTAGATTGCAATACCACCCTGAACACGCCCGATCTTGTCTGTTCTTTGATATTTTCTTAGGGTTCTCTTCAACCTACAAATAGTCACTGAGCAATGTCATCTATTGTCATGGTTTTAAAGCCCAGCTGATGACTCTTTAATCAGGACACTTTAAAAAATCTGATACCACCCTTGCCTGGACATTCCCAGATGCCTCAAATTCAGCCTTCCCAAATAAACTCAGTGTCTTTCCCCTGCATCCTCAATCCCGAGATGCTACCATGATTCATGTTTCTACCCAGGCCAGATACTTAAGAATCATTTTCAGCTTCTCCTTTTTCGTCTTCACATCTAATTTATCACCATGGCCTATAGATTATTTCTACTAAATATTTTATTCTCATGGTCAGTACCCTGGCCCATGCCCTTATTCTCTCTCACTTCAACTACTGCTGCTGGAGACTAGTTAAGCTTCTCTCTTCACTGCTGTCCCTCCTCCAATCTGATTCATTCCATTTTCCACACTACACTCAGAGAGATCCTCCTCTTCCCTGGCCTTCCCTTAGGATAATGGCCAACCTCTTTGGTTGGTTAATTTCCATCAATTGGGTATCAGCTCGTATATCCCCTTCAGTGAAGTGTTCCTGACACATGGTCCCATAATGCCCTGTCTTCCTCATCATAGTGTACAGGACCCTTATTGTAATTGCACTTTATTGTAATAGCAGCTTATTTAATTGTCCAACTTCTTCACTAGAACATACACTCTGTGTGGTTGTTATACTTTTGCTTCATATTATGTCCTCATAGCCTAGCATATAATACATGTTTACAAATAATTTTTTACAGAATGCATGCACTTACTCCTTTATGGAGGACCAGAGGTTTTTCAAACAATGAAGCATGGGGCCATTTGTCTTAAAAAATCCCAGGGAGCTGTTAAAAATACAATTGCTTGGATTTGACCCCAGACATACTTAATCATACTGTCCAGTGAGGGGCCAAGAATTTTGTAGAGAATGGTGCAGTTTATATGTGGGATGCATTCTTGACAGCATGCCATCATTCAAAATTTACAAATCTTGACTAGTTTTCCCCCAGTAGCACTGCGTTTCTGTTCGTCAGCCAGTTAATGTTAACACCATTACCTGGCATTTATAGTTCACTTGGCCTTCCAGAATTGGTATTGTGATTCCTGTTTAGCTTTTAAAATCTCAGAGAAGTCACATTATTTGAAATTTTATGCATACATAAAACATGTCATAGTTATATTTTTTTACTGCAAATTTGCATTAAATGTGAACTTCATTGTATTTTTTAAAAATTTCCAGATTATTTTCATGAACAAATTTGAATTCAAAGGTTCATGCTCTTTTCTCTCTCTTTCTCTGTTTTCTTTCTTTCTCTCTTTTAAAAAGTTCTTCTAAATTTTTAATTGTGGTAAAATACATATAACATTTACAATCTTAACAATTTTTTTTCTTCTCTTTTTTTTTTTTTTTTTTTTGAGATGGAGTCTTGCTCTATCGCTCAGGCTGGAGTGCAGTGGTGCAATCTCAGCTCACTGCAAACTCTGCCTCCCAGGTTCATGCCATTCTCCTGCCTCAGCCTCCAGAGTTGGTGGGACTACAGGCGCCTGCCACCATGCCTGGCTAATTTTTTGTATTTTTAGTAGAGATGGGGTTTCACCGTGTTAGCCAGGATGATCTCAATCTCCTGACCTCATGATCTGCCCGTCTTGGCCTCCCAAAGTGCTGGGATTACAGGTGTGAGCCACCACGCCTGGCCTGCTTTGTTACTTTTTATTGATGACAGGCTGTGTAAAGAAAATTGTAGGGCTCTGAATGATGTCATTTTCTTCTGGTGTAGATTTAGTTTTTTCTGGCATGAGGATCACCTTGACTGGTTCATACTAGTCAATTTCTGTTTTTCCCCCTTTACTCTTAGGTCATAGAACTTTCGTTGGTCTCAACTAAAAGTATTGGTTGTTTACAAGGGCTTCTCCCAGTTGGTGGGTTTGAACTCTGGTTTTTCTCCCCAGGACTATGAGACTACTAAAGTCTTTGCCTTGGTGGACGCTTTTTTTGTTTGGTTCCTCCTTGTCTGATCCCAAACATTCAGTTTAGGTATCAGTCAATGCCTTGAGGGGTAACAGCACATGGAATTTAAATTGACTTCTGTTGAGTTCTTCTCTTCTGTGATCCTGAATCAATCTCAATCCATGGCTAGGTTGCCAGCCTTGAATTTCTAGCTTTTTGTCCTCCCAGCCTAATGAATGCTGTAAGTTCCATGCTGCTGGTTTCTGTTTGGCTTCTATGACACACAATGTGAACTGGAAAATTCTATAAGAAGGCAAAGCACCAGCAAATGTATGGCTGCCCTCCTCTGTGTCCCTTCACTCTGGATCCTGGTACTTTAAATCCTGGCTGTATTGGTTGCTCTCTGATGTCCCACAACAATTTTTAAAAGTATTTTCTCCAACTTTTATAATTTTTCTTAAAGGGAGGGTTAGTCTGATTTACTCTGTCAGCGAATTGCCTACCTTTATTTAAGCTGCTAAATTTTAGAGGCTCAAAGGAGGTTCTGAAATGACCCTGGGTAGGTGATCAGAGAAGAGTTATAATAGTGGCAAATTGATCATTCCTGGGCCCCAATCTAGAGATGCTGTTTCAGCAGGTCTGGAATGGGGCACAGAAATTTACGTATTTTAAAATATACTTAGGAGATTCTGATGCATATCCAGGTAGATCACGATCTCTGAAAATGTGTCCGAGGAACACTTGTGCCATTAACACCTAGGGCACTTGCTAACACTTCGTCTAAGCCACTATCATTTCTTACCTAGATTATTATTATCCTTCTTTCATACCTTTGTCTCTTTCTTTTAAACATAAATCAGACCATGTTATTTTCTTGCTCAAAAACTTTCATTGGCTTACCATCTTCTTTGGAGTAAAAAAGGTAAATATGGGGGAAGATCTGGACATGGTTCTTTTCCTCACCCCTTCAGATCTCTGACCAAACTTCAGAGACCTTCCCAGACACCCTCTATAAAACAGTAACTACACTACCTCAATCACTTTCAGCATACCTTAATCCTTCATTTCTTTTTCTTTATCACTCACACTGTCTTTCTCTGAGATGTCACATATTTACATTTCTCAAAAAAAACCTGTCTTTATTGAGGTATGATTGACCTAAAAAAGGCAGTGCATATTTAATGTATACAATTTAATGAGTTTGGAGTAAGTACACACCCATGAACTCCACAATTAATGCCACAAATATATCCATCACCTCCAAAGTTGCCTCAGCCCTCTTTTTTTGTGTGTGTGTTAAGAACACTTAACATAAGATTTACCCTGTTAGCACGTATTTAAGTATATGCCACAGTATGAGTAGCTATAGGCACTCTACTGTACAGAAGAGCTCTAGGACTTATTCATCTTGCATAACTGAAACTTTGCACTCTGACTAACTCTTCCCTGTTTTCTGCCCCCCTTATCCTTTGGCAACCACCATTATACTCCTTGCTTCTATGAGTTTAACTGTTTTTTTTTTTTTTTTTGAGACAGGGTATTGCTCTGTCACCCAGGCTGGAGTGCAGTGGCATGATCATGGCTCACTGCAGCCTCAATCTCCAGGGCTCAAGTAATCTTCCCACCTTGGCCTCCCAAAGTGCTAAGATTACAGGCGTGAGCCACTGTGCCCGGCCCAAGCTTAACTATTTTAACTATTCCCTTATATTAGTGAGATCATATAGTATTTGTCCCTTTGTGTCTGGCTTATTTCACTTAGCATAATGTCCTCTAAGTCCATCGATGTTGCCCAGATGGCAGGATTTCCTTCTTTTGTAAGGCTGAATAGTATTACATGTTGTATACATACCACACTTTATCCATTCATCCATCAATAAACATTGAAGCTGGCTATTGTGAATCGTGCTGTGGTAACATGGGAATGCAGACATTACCTCTTTAACATACTGATTTCAGTTCCTTTGTATATATACCCAGTAACGGGATTTCTGGATCATATGGTAGTTCTATTTTTAATTTTTTGAGGTATCTCCATACTGTTTTCCATGGTGGCTGTACCCATTTTCATTTCTACAACGGTGTACAAGGGTTCCCTTTTCTCCATATTATCACTAACACTTGTTGTCTTTTGCTTATGATGGCAGCCATTCTAACAGATGTGAGGTGGTATCTCACTGTAGTTTTGATTTGCATTTCACTAATGATTAGTGATGCTGAGCATCTTTTCATATACCTATTGGCCATTTGTATGTCTTCTTTGGAGAAATGTCTATTCAGGTCCTTTGACCACATGTTTTTTTTAATTGTCTGTGTTCAGCCACTGTAGGCAAATGTTTCATTAAAAGAAAATGTAAGTTCAAGGCATTTGCAGCCTACAAGAAATTTTAGTTTCTGAGATTTTCCCTTGAGGACTGGTCCAGCCTGAACGATAAGGTCTTGGAGAGGGAACGTGGAGAAGCACAGACTGCATATATGTCTCACTAACTAGGAGTTTTACAGCCTCCTCCACAGGAATCTGTTCTTTGGGGACCAGCTGGTTATTTTGCATGCTCAGTCAAATAGCAGAGGTATCTGAGAAGTGCCGAGAGTGTGCCTGTTCCCAAAGCATCGCTGGTCCACAGGGCCCCTGGCCAACTTGCTAGATTCACAGTGAAGTGATTCTGAGCTCTATGACAAAGGTGAAGATGGAAGTGGCAAAGACAGAGATGACTGACAGCCTCCATTTATGTCTGGATACTAAGATGGCAAGTGAAGCAGTCTGGCTACTTAGGAAGGACGGACCTTCTGAACCTCTGCACATTTCCTTCCAACCTGAAACAGCCTCTCCATATCAGAAACCACTCTTCCTATTCTAAAGAGTCCATTAAAATATTGCATGGAATAAATCTACTCTGAATACTTTTGTTTGTGATAGTCCACTTAACCCAGTGAGGTTACACACTAGGTTTTTTTTTTTGAAGCAGAAAGACCCCATAGGACCATCCCTTGCAAAATGTGATTTTTTTGCGATGGACGTAGGAGATGAAGAGCAAGCTGGAGATGGGCTCTAATGACAGCTGTTAGTACTGAAATGGAATAGGCGGCTCAGGAAAGTGTCAACCTTCTGCTTTAAGAAAGCACATCCCTCCGCAAAACAGAGGGAAACAGCGCTCAGCTCTTGTTCAACAGGTACCAGAAAATAACAGCTGCTGGGCTCTCACTTCTATGTTCCTGCTTTTTCACAACTTCCACATCAGCAATGATTGGTTTGAGTTTCACTAAACTGTCAAGAGATGAACCAGGAATACATTTGTATAACACATGATCCAACAGCATTTATATCCCAGAGTGGAGAAGACACAGCAGAGTGTGTGGACCTTTACTTGGCTCCTTTAAAAGAAGTTGGAACTCAGACTCAGTGGGAACAGTGGAGCAACACCAGATCTGAGGGTGCCCGTCAGAGTCCCAGAATGGGACTCCACAGCTGTGGCAGGTGTCTGTGTTCATCTGCTGGCTGGCCTGGCTTTCTTCCTCAGGGGTGGTTATTTATTTAGGGCTTTGCAGTGGTAGAAAGGAGTATATTTAGCTCGCTATGAAAAAGAATTTTCAAATAATTGTTTAACAAGAAAAGCAGCTGAGATTTCAAAGCTGGGCTTGCTTTTGTACCCCCACACCACATTTCAGGGATCTAGGATTCTAACAGTGTGGAAAGACAACCAATGAAAATTCCAAACATTTGATGAGATTTCCTGAAGACCTTGGGCGAGCAGCACTCCCTCTCAAGCTCAGCCTGGCTCCCGTGCTTGCAATCGAGAGACTGACACTTGAGAACTGGCCTGACCAATGTGCTCTTTGCATTTGTCACCATGAAAGGGAATGGAAATTGGGTACACATCCGTGGGCAGAATGGCAATCTTCAAAGCCCAAGCTTCGCAAGGCAGCAATGCAGTATCCAATGAGCTATCTCACAGAGCTACCCCACAGATATTCAAGAACGTGTAATGGGATAGTTTAATTACCCTATGGGAATTCCAAAAGGCTTTCAGCCCAACTGTAGTCCCTTCGTCACTCATGTTAATGTCACCTGCTGTCCTTGGCCTTTCTCAGAGGAGCAGGAACAATATCTTGTCCTAGTGATCTGTCACTAAAGCAGGCTGCAGGAACACAGAGCTGCCATCACAGGGCCCAGCTGGGACAGCGAGGCACTGAGATGGGCAACCTTCCTCGCTAGACAATCATGACATTTCTCTGCATCTGGCTGAACTCAGTTTCTGCCTCAGGCCCCGTGGGCTTCAGAAATTTGCAGATATCCCCTTGCTGCTGTCTCCTTCATGGAGTTACTGGCTCTCTCCTCTTCCATGGCTTTCTCTTTGACTTTGGGTTCCCCCCCCAGGCACCCTGTAAATCTGCCCCCATAATATTCTGTGCCTCCCTCCCTCCCACCTCCACAGAGCTCTATCATGACTGTTTACATAGCTGTCTCTCCTAGCAGAGCACGATCTCTTCCTGGAAGAAGGAGCCTGTGTCTCAGTCACCTTTGTACCTTCCAGCATCTAGGATAGTGCACAATCCAAAAGTGGCAGTCAGGAAATATTTGTGAATAAATGAGCGGAACTCAGCGCTTGACGTTTAGGCAGATTTTGCCAACGTCAGCACATTTATACTGCCAGAAAGTTTAGCAAGTGGGTATCTTAAAACTGTGAACTATCAGTTGGCAGGGACGTCAGAGCTCCGACTTCCGTACTTTAGATGTAGGAAAGCTCTGGCATGGATGTGATGCATTCTGCCCAGGGTGATGGGGAGCTAGTTAGTAGCAGGGCTGAGTCTAGAACTAGGGGCTCCTGATTCAATTCCCCACTCTCTGCATTTATTTTAGTGAAGCCTTAATTGTGGCTGATGTGCTGGGTAAAGTGGAACAATCTTTACCAGAAAGAGAGTCGCTGCCCACCTACTCTGCTGGCCGAGACAGAGCCAGGAAACAGAGCCAAGCCTGTTGCAATGGTGGTTCCTTCGTTGCTTCGGCTCAACGCTGTCGAGGGACCTGTGTGGAGTGCTGAGCCTAAGGAACCTGCCTCCCTGGGTGTTGCAGGAAAGGGTATGTGGATTTGGGGTTTATTCCCTGCAACTAATTATGCAGATGTGTAGGCAATGCTCTTTGCTATTTTCAGGAGCTGTGTTAAAACTATTTAAAGACATGGGCATAGATTTGTCTTTAGAAAAGAAACATTCAGGGGAATTATCCCAAGGGCTCTCCCTCTGGCTTATGATTTATGCTTTTAGAAAACAGCCTCCTTCAAACTGAAGAGACATAACGACTTGTGGAATTCAGCATCAAATGAACAGGCTGTGTTTTCCTGGTCTCAAACCTGGAGTAAGACGAAGATGACCCCAATTCAACAGCTTTTGAAAAATCAGGATCATTCCTAAAGAGAACAGTTTTATGAAAGTTGAAATTAAAGGTTGTTATATCTCAAGGGCAAGAATGCTTATGGATGGGGTCAACTCCATAATGTGCCTTTTTGGATAACACTGATTTCTATTAATTGGAAAGCTTTTCAAGGCCAGCCCCAGGAGACTGGTGTGTCTGGGTGCACTGGTTTTGAAGGCAGATGTGCTGTTTGGGTATGTCTGTCTCTCTTTCTCTCTTCCTCACACACACAGCCAGAACTGCCTACATCCAGACCAACAGCATAGACTTTAGAGCTGGATGGATTTCCATGGCACATGCTGATGGCTTCTTGTAAATATAATTTAGATTTGACTAACCATCTAAATGTGTGCTCCCTGGCCCTGCATGTGATGCGGATCAGAGACATGCATAGTTCACCCTTGAAGACGACACAGAGATTCAAGGATTCAAAATGGGTTGACAGAAAGTTATCCTTGTTTTTGGATGTTTTCCCAGCATAGAGAAAGCTCCTGGGTACAGCTGAGCTCCGGCTCTCAGTTCCTCGCCTCCTAGACTCAGGCTTGCACCCCGGAAGCTGCCATCCTCAGGGCTCCTGCCTGCTCCAGAGGCTTCCCGACAGGCCTTCCTAGTTCCCATCTTGCTGTGATTCTTGTTTATGGCTCCTTTCTGTGCACTTGGAGTCTATGGACACCCAGTGACAGTCAGCTCTAGCTGTGAGAGAGGTAGTCTATCTTTTCTAGAAAAAGTGGAGCTTTTCAAAATAAAGTTACTCTCATCTGCCTATGGCATCAGAGGGGTCTGGAGGCAGGATCTTGCTCGAGTGCCCTTTTTGGGAACCGGATAATGAGTCTTAGACATCATAAGTCTAAAAATGAATTAGCTGTAATCTCTGGGTGTCAGTTGTTTTCTTCATTTGTGAAATGAAGGGCCAGGTCCAATGGCCTCTAGGATCCTTTCACAGTCAAAAATCAGTGAATATGAGATTCAAATCCTGATAACTTGAAAATCTAAAGCTGGAAGTACCTTTCTGGAGGAGAGGCCCAGGCCTGGAGAAAACATCACTGTTGAAGGGCCCTAGTTTGGGAGGTGGCAGGAGGACAGGTCCCGCCTGCACTATGCTTCCTCTCTGTTCATGGCAGGGAACTGACAGTTCATAAGAACAAGGGCAACTCTAAACAGCAGCAAAGCTTCTCACCGAGCATATTAAAACCACCCTAGTATGAGCCCCAGGGCCCTTTCCCATTCCAAGACAGAACATTTGGGGGTGACATACACCCATGGGTGGGATTCTAACATTTATCATTTATTCCAGACCCCAGGATGCCCCAACAGGCACCACAATTGTTTTAGTCATTTCTTGGTAACAGTTCTGGAGCCAGATGGTTAACCCATTTATGCTGGAGGTTGAGATTTTTTGAATTTAATTTGAATTTAAAAATCAGACATTGGCGATGACCTTGAGCAGTAGGATATAAATAACTCCGACATGCTTGGCGTTCCAATAATGGAACACTAGGCATAAGTGGGTCAAGGGAGTCAAAATCTTCCCTGACCATGTTGTCTATGCAAGCCCAGAATCAAGACCCTGCTGATCTGTAGAGGGCCACTGCTGAGAGGCCAGATGGCCTCCCTGCTGTCCTTAGCCAGGTTTGCAAGAGATCAACTGCCTCACACATTGCTTTCCTTGCATGATTCTCAATGTGCTGGGCTGCCAGAACTTGGCACAAAAGGCAGCAGATAGGCACTGCAGCAGTGTTTATAGGAGTGGATGCATCAAAGCCTTACAAATCTCTGCTCCCTCACTCCAAGATGCAGAAGCACATGCTACCACCAGTCCTGCAACCAAACCCAGACACGTGCAGTCCAGGCGTGGTGAGCTATGGTTTCCCTGGAGCTAAGACAGTCAGGGATCTGCCGCTGCCACTCTTGACCTCTTGATCCCGTTACTCTCATCCCATCTCAGTCTGGTGCTTCTTTTTTGTCTTCTGCACACCAAGGACATCACTAGCTCCCAATATTTTTGGCTTTTGCCTTAAAGTGTATTTGGAAAGTACAAGGACCAACTGCAGTCAATTTTGCTTCTGGAAGGCAAGATTACCCTAATTAGCGTAAATACAAATTATGGTGGCTTCTCCATCACGAAAACCCCACTAGAGGCCTAGAATGGTGGCTCATACCTGTAATCCCAGCACTTTGGGAGGCAAAGGCAGGAGGATCACTTGAGCCCAGGAGTTCGAGACCAGCCTGGGCAACAGAGTGAGACCTGCCTCTTAAAAAAATTTAGCCACTTGTGGTGGTACGTGCCTGTAGTTTCAGCCACTTGGGAGACTGAAGAGACTGCAGTGAGCCATGATTGCACCACTGCACTTCAGCCTGGGTGACAGAGCAAGACTCCATCTCTTAAAAAAAATATCCTCTAGTGCAGCTCTGTGCTACCCTGCTCCATTTTTCTGGGGAACTGTTCCTCCTCTGGCTCTACTCTGACTCTCCCCAAGCTCTAGCCAAGGGCCTCACCATGTGGTCTGGGGACCAGCAGCATCAGCTCTGCCTGGGAACTTGTTAGGAATGCCAAGCCCCAACCCAGACTTCCTTCTTGAAATCAAAATCTGCATTTTAACAAGTTCCCCTAATGTGTGCACGTTAGCATTGATAAGCACTGCTCTAGCAATCAGAATTGAATGACGGGTATTGCCTGTTGCTTTTTTGGCTACAGTGATTAGCGTCAGTCAGTGTGTGTCAGGGAGGGGTTGGTGGTTTGGGGGGTGGCGAACAGGCATGTGACCCAAGCTGGTCCCAAATCTTCTATCTCCAGCAACCACAGTAATCAGCCTTTGGCTTTTTCACGTCTCCAGTGAAGAGCCTATTCTTTAACGGTGAATCTGAAGTTTAAGGTCATATCTATTGGTGGCCTCTCCTTACCCCCAATCCAATCTTCAGTAAGAGAGAATCAAGCCAGTACAGAGAGTAGCAGAATTGAGAGGGACCAAAGAAGGAAAGGGAGGAAAAAAAAGGTGAGTTATATCACTTTTCAAGTTTGTAGTTACAGAAAGAACCCTCAGGTTCTTTAATGTCCTGGTTCATTCCATCCTAAGGCCAGGTGCTCAACTCCTCTAACAAGTCTCTCAACCTCTATAATATCTTTCTAGTAAATCGCCTTTTTGCTTAAGCTAGTTTGAGCTGGTTTGATTAATTTTCTAAGTGGTCCTGATGAGTGCCCTTGCAGTCAGAGGCTGCGGCCTCCAGGGCCCATCCAGGGTGGGGGACGGAAATGGAGTAGGATTCTCAGCAACTCCCTGTTGATGAGTGTCCTATCCCTGACATCCAACTCCAGGACATGGGGCAGTGAAGCCATCACTTCCACTTCAGACTTCCCTGCAAGTGCACTGAGGTTAACCCTTCTCTTGAGTGATGGAGTCTACCCTGCATGTGTGGGAGTATACTTTTTATATGTGCTGGAGTATATGAGACTTACAATATGTCTCAGTCTGATATATTTTATTCACCCTTACCTGTAGTTTACTGTTTTATATTCTAAAAATTTATATCATATCATTTTTGAGAATTTTTTTCTTGTGATTATTCTTTAAAACAATTTCTTCTCCCCATTTTCTTCATTTTGCTTCTGAAGCTCCTATGAAGTAAATGTTACAGCTTCTTATCATCTCTTAACATTCCATTGTGTCTTGTCATTCCATATCTCTTCATTTATTTTTTGTATTTCTCATCACTTTATATCTCTGTGCTTTACTTTGGATGATTTCTTCAGAATGATCTTCCAATTCACTAATTCTCTTTTGAGCTGTGTCTGGTTTATAGCTTAACTCATCATTAAAAAATTATAACTATTTTTTCCTTCTGGAGTGCTTATAGTTTCCAATTTTGTTCTTCATGTGCAATGCCCTCTTCTTTCTTTGAAAACTTTAAACATACTATTAATAAAGCTCTTTTGGTTTGTGCAGCAGCTCCTGGGATGTAAGTTCCACCATTTGTTGTTGTTTGCTAACTTTCTCTTTCATAATGTTTTGGTTTACTTTGTGATTTATAAGTTTTGACTTTGGGATCACTTTTAGTGGGTGTTTGTTTTGTTTTTAAAATACTATCTGTGTGGTACTGTAGAGATGTTCCCATGGGACAGTTTCATGTTTACTTCTGCCGGGACTGTATGTGTTTCCCCAGTCTCAGGTTGGCTTCTCTGTTAATTTCTTAGCTCACAGTTTTGGTTCTGTTTGGCTAATGTGAATTTGGACTCCATACTTGCACATGGCATGAACTTGAGGTTCCAATTTCTAACAGGTGACTTTTTCTTCTCATATCCCAAGGGTGGGTGATTTCTGTGCCATAACGCTGGTCTGATAGGCAGAGTTACTCCAGTCTCCTTTGATGTGTGGGAAGGCCCTTCTTGGATTTCCACCTTTATATAGAGAGGTACAGTCATATTTCCAGTAAGGTGGGAGGCCTACAGACTTAACCCAGCCCCAGGATATGTAGTTAATTCTAGTAGCCCGGTGGGAAGTTTGGTTCTTCATTTCTGGCACCTGTCGCCTTCCATTCCTTATTTTCAAGAACAGTATGTATTTTCTTTAAACTTGTGTGGAATTTTATTCAGCATTCCTATCATATTTGGAGCAGAACAGGGACAGAATTTCTCAAGCCAATGTGGTCTACACAGTGATGGGAAATTTCAGAGACAAAGGCTTTTTGTATGCCCCAGGACCCCAGGGGGGTGATCCTCTCCTAAGGAAGCTCAAATGCCATGACGTCATTGGACATCAATTAATTCACTTTTCAAGGCTCTGGGCACTGCCTCTGCCTCAAAATTGTGCTCATCATGGCTATGCTTTCTCTTCCCCCCTTTTCCCCTGGATTACTGTGAGTGTGATGCTTATTATTCTTTGTCTAAGTGATTGAGGAAGCCAGAGCTTCTGAATGAGTCCCAGAGGAAATAATCCCATTTGAAATGGGTAACATTCAAGCTATACCCTTTGGATCTCTCAGCCCCTAGTTCCTCCTGCTTTGATCAGGAGGCAGTGTGGATCAGTGAATAAGGCATGATAATTTTTGAAGCCAGAAAGACAAGGGTTTGAACCCTGCTTCCACTATTTATCAATAATGGAGCCATATGCATCTTCTAGAATCTTTGGGATCCTTAGTTTCCTTATCAGGAAAATGGACATTTGAATAGCAACTTTGTGAAACTGTGGTGGTAGCAGGAAAATGAGATGATATGAGTTGAGCAATCAGCAAAGAGGCTGGCATGAGAGAAACTCCTTGATTATCTTTTCTTTCTTGCCATACCCTTCCTTCAAAAAGGACAGACGTCAGTTTATGGGAAATCCTTTGAGGCTTGAGTCTAATCTCTCATGCTGCCAACAGACATAGACTAAAAACATCCTTCATATTTTTTACCAAATCACAGTGGACACAGCGACTAGTCTGACTGCATTTCAGAAAATGTTATTAATAGTCTCTAAACCATAAGAGTTACAGGGGTTATTTTGAAAAGCACTAAATGCATAATGATTTATATAGATTTTATAGATTGAATTCAGCCATGTCAATTTCCTAATGCTGTGAATTTTACTGCCTTCTTTGTTTTCGCAGCTGCTCCTGGCTTGGGGAAAGTGGCGGCGGGGAGGGTCTGTATTATGGTGTAGTTGCTGCACTTGACGTTTGGGTTACATAAAGATTTTCCCAGCAGGCTAGGCGTGGTGGTTTACACCTGTAATCCTAGTGCCTTGGGAGGCTGAGGCAGGAGGATTGCTTGAAGCCAGGAGTTTAAGACAAGGCTGGGCAACATAGCGAGACCCCAGTCTCCACAAAAAATACAAAATTAGTGAGGTGTGGTGATGCACACCTGTAGTCCTAGATACTTGGGGGGCTGAGGCAGGAGGACTGCTTGAGCTCAGGCGTTCAAGGTTACAGTGAGCTATGATTGTGCTACTGCACTCCAGCCTGGGTGACAAAGCAAGACTCTACCTCTCTAAAAAAAATTTCGCCACCAATTCCAAGTTCAAGGCAATAGTCTTTCAATCCAAAGTAAATGCAAATGAAGGAATTGGAAAATTAAGCTTACAGACAAAGTGAATGATCCTATCCACATATTTAAGTCTTACATCCTCAAGCAAAAGTTTTCACTACACTGCAGTGGCCCTTCATTGATGGGCCCTAGAGCCAGATTGCCTGGGTTTAAATCCTGGGTAGGATACTGACTTGAGTCGGCTTCCTTAACCTCTCTGTGTCTCACCTTCATCATTTATAACATGGGATACTAATATTCACTCCTTATGGTTGTCGGGTGAATGAAATGAACTGCTTTGTGTTAGGTGCTTAGGTTAGTGCCTGGGATATAGTAAGTATTCAATAAATGTTAGCTACTATTATTATTAGTGATCTTTTTGGAAGTACATATACCCCTCCTTAGGAAGGCTCAATAGTCAACCTGTCCTAGTAGGTCACAGATTTTGGTGGTGGGCCGTTGTGGAACCAAATCCTTACTCTTTCACTTATTTGTTATGTGACTTGTGTAAATTATTTAACCTCTATGAATGTTTATGTCTCATATGGGTATAAGGCATATCTTAAGGAATTATTGTGAAGGTAAAATGAGAGTGTATGTGGCAAAATGCAGTGTCTGGCTGCTGTATAATTAACATTAGTTGCTTTTTAAATTTTTATTTTTATTTATTTTTTAGGGTCTCACTCTGTTGCCCAGGCTGGAGTGCAGTGGATTGATCATAGCTCCCTGGAGCCTGGAACTCCCAGGCTCACGTGATCTTCCTACCGCAGCCTCCCAAGTAGCTGGGACTAAAGGTACACACCACCGTGCCAAGCTAATTTTTTAATTTTAACTTTTTGTAGAAACTTTAACTTTTGTAGGCTGGGTAACACAGCCTGCTATGTTGCCCAAGCTGATCTCAAACTCCTGGCCTGAAGCAATCCTCCTGCCTTGGCCTCCTAAAATGCTAGGATTACAGGCATAAGCAACTGTGCCCAGCCATAGTTACTTTTATTTATTTATTTATTTTTGAACTAACGCAAAACTCACAACGTTTGAGGAAATCCGCCTTTGTCATGTCGTGACAGAAGTTTCCCCTTTTATCCTGTTTTATTTTCTAGCTCCATATAACTTTTACATATTGTTCCTAATTCTACTTCTTAAAACCCATCTAATACGTTTTCTGTTTAGAGAGACAATCAAATGTTTGTTGCTTCTTGTAGGAGTTCATTTTGAGCTCCCTCATCATCCTCATGGACTCTCACCTGTGTCTCTCTTAAAATGTGGCCCCACATAATATTACTAGTATTATCCAGTCATTGCAGAAGAGAACAATGCTGTCATATCCTTAATTCAAATTACTACAGTTTGTTACATAACTGGATTACATCAGATTTTTGGGTGGCTGTATCATGCACATAACTCACGGTAAAGTTATAATCCATCAAAATCCCTTTCCCACCTGTGGCATTCGGGCTGCCCGCCCCCGCCCCTGGCCCCAGCCACTGTTCCTGTATCTTATAGATCCATGTGGATACCTTACATTTATTCCTATTAAATTTTCTGTTCTATTTGGCCCTTCTTTCCAGCCAGCCAGTTGTAGCCAATAGCTGTCTTGTGCATGGATTTAGAAGTCAGACACATCTGGGTTTGAATTCTGCCCTTATCACCTCCTAGCTGTGAGATCTTGAGAAAGTTAATTTTCCTCTCTGAGCCTCAATTTTGTCATCTACAAAATGGAGATAATAACACCTATCTTAAAACGTTATTATCAGACCTTTTGGGATCCTGATTTTAACACATACGATATCACTATGCTCTCTGATTTTGTGTCATTGATAACTTTTACAAATGTAAGTTTTATGATTTTACCAAAGTCATTGATAAAAATATTGAACCAGACAAGGTGATGGACTAAGCCCAGTTATAAGTCCCGAGAAATTTCCCTTTGGGTTGACTGAGATAAGGGACACACATCTTTGGGGCCATTATTCTAACCCCTACCTGCCTTACTTTCAACTCTTCTTTCTCCATTAAAGCCTCTTCCATGATGAGATCAGCTGCTTTGCTGGAGTTCAGTTACACAGTGTCCACCACACATTCTCCCGCTACCCCTCAGGAATCCTCACCCACAAAGGAAATGGCGCTTGATTGACATGATGTATCCTCAGAGAACGTGAGCTGCCTCCTACTAATCACTACCTATGTTAATAACTAATTAATGTTTTTCAGTTTAAGAAAAAGTCTCCAATTAATAGGTCTGTTATTGCATCATTAAAATATCACAAATAAGTCTTAGGAATCATCTGGCATCTGTGTCTGTAGCTGGACAACTCTTAGATCATATTCATCAGCCTGCTGAACTGTTCCTGTTACAGAGACATAGATGGCACCCCAAAATTTTCTGTTTTTACTTGTTTTTACTGTTGCAACTTGCTGAATCAGACCTGCTGAGCTGGAAACAAGCTCAACGTCATTTTCTTCAAGGATTAATTCATCTCTCTTGGCTTGAGATACTGAACAAGCAACACCTGGCCTCATCTGAACCCTGCGGATGTATTTTCCACCCAAGAAATTTCAGATTTCAACAAGAGACCCATTCTTCTGGATAAGGATGTTGATGGGGGAAGTGAGCAGCCTCATCTTCTGAGGGAAGCCCAGTGAAATGTCCTTGATCATGTTCTGTGCATGAGTCTACACGTAGTGTGAAGAGTAGCCACCTCCTTCCTATTTTCCTACCATTTTGTCAACCCAGAGCTGCTTCTTTGTTTGCCAAGGAGACTGAGTTCTACATTGATGCAGCTGAAGCTCCTCTGCAGGGTTCCCCTGTGGCCCTATACAATTAACTGCATCTCTTCGGAGGGATGTTGACAATTTCTGGAACATCTATAGTCTGATTTCTGCGAATGGTCTTCATTCTTGCAGTAGATACGGCAAAAGCCACTTTTGTTAATTTAAAGGCTCACAAACCATTCCGTTTGGAACCATTCTAGTACCTGACCTGGGATCAAAATCATGCATACAAGTGTGAATTCCTCTTCCCTTGCCTGTCTCTATTCTGCTCTCCTTTCTCTACAAAGCTCCTCAAAGAGCTGTGAGTCAGTAGCCTCACTTGCTAGTTCTGTTGATACCCCGGAGCATCATCATTCAGAACGAGTTACCTGGATGCCTGCATTTGGAAGGGCCAGGCATTCTCTCGCCCCCATCTCTGTCTGGACTTTCAGTAACCCCTCCTTTCCCTGCTTAGTCTTTTGAATTCTTTGACACAAGAGGCACGATCACAATCAAAGGCACTTTGCTTTCTCTTTTACGTCTTCCAACATTGTCCAGGCCACTACAACAGTCCAGGCACACAGAAAGAGCTCCATTTGCATCTGCCAGATGCATGAATCCTATCTGAAACCAAACTGATAGTTCCAGTAACCACTCACACAGGGAGATGAAGAGTGCGAAGGAAATATTTATGTGGAACATGAGCAGGAGTAGGTGGAGGGGCAGCCACGTGCTATGTGGCAAACAGTTGTCTTGTGCATAGACATAGAAGTCAGACACATCTGGGCTTGAATTCTGCCCTTATCACCTCCTAGCTGTGAGATCTTGGGAAAGTTAATTTTCTTCTCTGAGCCTCCATTTTGTCATCTACAAAATGGAGATAATAAAACCTATCTTAAAAAGTTATTATCTGGACAGGCACCGTAGCTCATGTCTATAATCCCAACACTTTGGGAGGCCAAGGTGGGAGGATTGCTTGAGCCCGGGAGTTCAAGACCAGCCTGGGCAACATAGTGAGACCCATGTCTGCAAGAAATTAAAAAATTAGTCAGGTGTGGTGGTGTGCACCTGTAGTCCCAGCTACTCCTGGTGCTGAGGAGGAAGGATCGCTTGAGCCTAGGAGTTTGAGGCTGCAATGAGCTATGATTGCACAACCGCACTCCAGCCTGGGTGACAGAGTGAGACCCTGTCTCAAAAAAATATTTAATTTGATATTGTGTCTAAAGATTGCTGACATGTATAAGAGCTACAAAAGGGGTATTGGTACTGCAAATGCTCTTTACTATGATAATTACAAATTCCTAGGTACCAAGGCTGATCATTCTCATGCTGTAATGTCTTGGCACTGCAATTTTTATTCCCTGTCACCATTTCCACTGCAGAGTGCCTGTGTAGTGTCTGCTGGTGATAAGAGCTGTGATGGTTGATCATCCAGGCCCGTATTCTCTGTTATGGGGGATTCTCCCTCTTTTAATGATTTCTTCCCTCTCAATGATTCTAGAATTCAGCTATCTTTCCGTAGCAGCCAACATTATGCAGTCCATTAAATCTCCCTCTTGTTAGTATCCGTCTGCCTTAGGAACAACTGGACCAATCCAAGTATCTTTTGGTTTGCAGTGCTACTTTGCATTCCACAATAACTTCAACAAAGCATCAGGTGGACTTAAACCCAGGGCTGCTAATTAGCAGTGAGTTGCACAATTGTTTATTCTTAGTTACTTGTGGATGGAGAAAATGACAGTAATGATCACAAAATATCTGTCTTTTGTGTTTAAAGAATACTTGGTGGGTAAAGCATAAGAAGGAAAGGTAGTTAAAAAATCAATCCTACAAAATTAAAATTTGGCTTATGCTGATGTGCACGTTGGCTTGGCCCAGCCTGATGGGAGTTGACCATGGAATTGGTCATCCCTCAGGAAGTGTGTTTCGGGGCCCTGCACGGGATGAAGAGGTGCATTCCCTCATTGTCCCCAAATGGAGATGGAGGTGGGACATTTTCTTCAATCCCATGGCCCTGATGCTACTCATGTGCTCACTCAAAGACTAACATCCAAGGCTGTTTCTGGGTGGCAGGAAGCATTTTTCTTTATTTCTTTTAAGAAAGAACAGCACCTCGTGGTTTGGCGTAATCTTCAAGAAGTAATCTAGTTCTCCAGGTTCTCTTTCTAGTCTTGTTTGTACAGAGCTTCAGAAGGGGAGACTTCACAATCACCTTTAATAACCCATTCCCCAAGGATCATTGTCACAACTATTGGTTTATGCACTAAAACAGCCTGTCAGAAAGGATGGTGGCCTGGCACACTGCAACCGTTAACACAATGTGCGTACAAGAACAACCCATGCCAATGCCAGGCCCAGAGAGGAGGAGTTCGGATTTGGGTCAGGAGCTAAATGGGGGACCTTAGAGAAGTGAGGGGAGCTTTTGAATGGGGAGTGCAAAGAGAACATCAAAAAGAACTGGGTGAGAGCAGCTCACACTTGCATGGAACCAGTTTTCTTTTGGCGGTGCTCTGCCATCTTTCATTCTCCCCCAGCTGGTTGAGGGAGACACACCTGGTCGCTGGGGCATCTCCCACATGGGTAAGGCCCTCCCCAGCAAGGCTAAGTAAAAGTTCAGCTGGGTTCCAGGATAGGCAGCCTGGTTAGACAGCAAGGGAAGGCCCTGCTCTGGACTGTGAGTGGGGCTGTCTTCTGAGGTCAGACCCAGGCCAAGGGCAGGGGTGGGAGAAGACCACCAATTTCAGGGTCCAGCCCCATCTGTATCATGTACTAAGGACATAGGAGGGGCCTAGAGGCTCACACGGCTCACACACACCATTAGCAGGCTTGTAGATCAGATAAGCACTGGAGACTCTAGTCCTGGCTGGCAATAGAGACTGAGTATCAGCCTGGTGGGTCCGCTGCACTTATTTATTCCTCCAAACTGAGCACAGCAGTAGCTGTCTAGCGAAGGATTATGGCTATTTCTTTCCTGCAGAGAGTGACTAACAGGCACTGTGTGCATCTGGGCACAATGATGCCGGAGGGTGTTGAGAGAGGCCTTTGTTCCATCTGGCAGCTCACTCCACAGGGCTGTGAGACAGGATCCCACTTCACAAGACGTACCAGGGGACATGCGTGCTTTGGAAAAAAACAGCGCTTAAGCCGAGCCTCAGCCTCACAGCCATTGCGTGCTCCTTGCTCCCTGGCCAAGGCTGCAGCTCTGACAGTGATTTGACATGATGAAGAACAGATGAGCGCGTGGTTGGTTGGGTCTTCACAATGTACTCTACCCCCGAGACAAAGTAAACAGAAGTCTTCACATAAGCTCGATACGGTTGATTCACAGGATCTGGCAGCACAGGGCATCTCTTTCCAAGCGAAAGGTGGAGCCATTTGAAGGTCACCTTGGAGGTGTGGGTTAGTCACCATTTATTATGGACCCCTTTCCAGTTCAAGAACAAAACTGAGCTGCCTACTTTGTTTGCATAGATTTATCCCATGATGTATGTCTCAGGATTCTATTTTAAACTACCAGCTATTTTGTTGTTGTTGTTCTGAGATGTTTTGAAAAGTCTGTTTTAACATCTTCTTACATCACTGTTTCCAATGAAAAAGTGCTCATAATGGATGGAGACTGACTTTGATCCACTCTGCTCTGCCAAATGGGTACAAAGAGCAAACAAGGGCTGCAAACTTGTATGTCTGGGTCTGCCTGGGCTGCCATAAGGAGGCACCACAGACTGGGGGCTTAACACATTCTTATTTGTTCACGATTTGGAAGCTAGAAGTCTGAGATCAAGGTGTTGGCAGTGCTGTTTCTTCTGGGTTTCTCTCCTTTGCTTGTAGATGGCCATCTCCTCACTGTGTCTTCCTACCATCACCCTTCTGTGTCTTCATCTCCTCTTCTTATAGGCACACCTGTCAGACTGGATCAGAGCCCAAGGACCTCACTTTTACCTAATTACTTCTGTAAAGACCTATCTCCAAATGCAGTTACATTCTGAAGTACTGGGGGTTAGGGCTTCAGCATATGAATTTGAGCATGGGGGGGGGACACAATTTAGCCCATAACACTCACATAAGAACACAGTAGGCTGGGAAGGCATGCCCTTGGCTGACTCCCGCCTTTAGGAAGGCATGCAGCATGGAACCCAAGCTGCTGTGCAGGATCCGCAGCCCTTCATATGGGAGCCCCAGCTGGTGCACACAGAACTTCAGCATTCTGGTTGGGATGAGGGCAGAGTAGTGAGTAAGCCAGGTAGGATCTGGAGTCCTACTTGGGTGCAAATTCTGCCTGTGACAAATGACAAGTTGTTCAATCTCTCTGAGCCTCAGTTTCCCCATTTGCAAAAGGAACACAGTCATTATGCTTACCTGTCAGGATGACTGTGCGGTGGAAGTGAGATAGAGTACGCACATGTGCTTAGTACCACACCAGCACGTGGTGAGTGCTGAGAAATGTGGCTCTTCATAATGACATGTAAAGACTGTCTTGACCTTGGGAGAATCATCCCAGGCTGTGAAAGGGCCTCGTCACCATGCTTCCTGTCTTTAATTCAGCTTTACTCAGCCATTTTCTTGTTCTACCCACACTCCATTCTGAAGGCTGTCAAGCTCAATATTGTGCTGAGACTTCCTGGTCACTTGGGTTATTCTTCTCTCCATTGGCTTCCAATAAACAGAAAACCGGTTTCAGCTACAGAGTGAATATATCTAATGATGATTCTCAGTAGAAAGGTTTAAACAGCCATTAGTTACTCTTACTCTAATTATAGCCCCTTCTCTGTATCACCAATGTGCTTAGGCATCTGAGAGCAGATGGTCAGCAAGAATAAGGAGAAGACAAAGTTTAGGAGGAAGCCTATTTGTTGCCTAAAATGATTTGGTAGGCCCCCTCGTTTTGGGGGAAGCCATGGGCTGAGAAGGAAGCAGGAATGTTCTTTAATGTGCAATGGATTGAAGCCAATGAGGAATCCCTGCCATTGAAATGTTAGTTAATATGTTCTATATGGGAAGGGAAGGCAAATGTTCTGTTAGGGTAGGGCTCTGTGTGGCTCTTGTGTGAGGATCAAAGACCACAGAGGAGACCCCTCTAGGTAGTTGAACCATGAGTCACTTAATGAGCCAGGTTCCAACTTATGTAGCCATTGCCAAGTGTGATCATTTGTTACCTGAATTGAGTTATCCTATCTGATATGCTGCCAGTCTAGGAAAGTCCAACTAATGTGCCTGTGAAAGAAAAACACATCCCTAATTTGATGGGATGGAGAAAACATAATGAATGGAGCAAAGCCAAGGTCTGAGAAAAGAACCTTAAATGGGACCAATTCACAAATTAGCATTTTTAGTTTTTATTCTCCACTGTGAGGCAGGCTTTGGCCATAATCATTTTTTCTATTCTAGACCCACCCTGTAAGCAGCCGACCCAGGCCCACTCCACAGGCAGCCTGGTATTTCCCAGACATTTTGCCCATGTTCACTTGGGTGCTGGGCTCCTAGCCCTGCACGATTTCAGTGAGGTTCTCCACTTCCCACCATCTGTGAAGGTCTGTTTGAACACCATGCCGATGTTCTTCTCTGACTTACTGACACACTCAGCTCCTGGCTCTCTGTCCCTCACTCTCTGGGCCCTCAGACTAGCAGGGAATCAAAAATTGTAAGCCTCATGTTCGTCTCCCCTCTGTCTTCCGATTTCTGTTTTAAAACCCACCTAAAAAGCTGTTATGGACTAAATTTGTGTGCCCCCTGTGAAAGGGCAATAAATCTTGGGGCCCCAAAATCACTAACCTAAAGGGAAAAGTCAAGCTGGGAACTGCTTAGGGCAAACCTGCCTCCTATTCTATTCAGTCACCCCTTGCTCCCTGAGATAGATGCATATCTGATTGCCCCCTTTGGAGAGGCTCATCAGAAACTCAAAAGAATGTAACCATTTGTCTCTTATCTGCCTATGACCTGGAAGTCCCCTCCCCACTTACAGTTGTCCTGCCTTTGCTTGGAGCCATCCCACCTTTCCAGACTAAACCAATGTTCATCTTACATATATTGATTGATGTCTCATGTTTCTCTAAAATGCATAAAACCAAGCTGTGCTCGGACCACCTTGGGCACATGTCATCAGGACCTCGTGAGGCTGTCAGGAGCGCACATCCTTCACTTTGGCAAAATAAACTTCCTAAATTGACTGATACCTGTCTCAGATATTCAGGGTTCACACCGCCAAAATTCATATGTTGAATCCTAACCCCCAGTGTGATGGTATCAGAGAGGCACCTTTGGAAGGTGATGAGGTCATGGCGTTGGGGCCCTCACAGTGGGATTAATGGCCTGGTAAGAGAGACAAAAGAGAGCTTGCTCTCTCTGCCTCATAAGGGTACAACAAGAAGACAGCTCTCTGCAAACCGGGAAATAGGTCCTCATCAGACACTGGATCTGCTAGCACCTTGATCTTGAACTTCCCAGCCTCCAGAACTGTGAGAAGTACATATTTGTTGTCAAAGCCACCCAGTCTATGGTCATTTGTTACAGCAACCTGAAAGGACTAAGAGGCCAATCAAGTCCCACAAAAAGTTATCTTAGGAGAAAGAAATGCGAATGACAACTCAGCTTTAGTTTTTTCTCTTTTTTTTTCGTTTTTTTTTTTCTTTTGAAACAGAGTCTCGCTCTGTTGCCCAGGCTGGAGTGCAGTGGTGCAGTCTTGGCTTACTGCAATCTCTGCCTCCCAGGTTCAAGCAATTCTTGTGCTTCAGCCTCCTGAGTAGCTGGGACTACAGGCCCGTGCCATTGCACCAGTCTAATTTTTGTATTTTTGGTAGCAATGGGGTTTCACTATGTTGGCCAGGCTGGTCTCAAAATCCTGACCTCAGGTGGTCACCAGCCTTGGCCTCTCAAAGTGCGGGGATTACAGGCATGAGCCACCGCACCCGGCCCTTTTATTTTTTTTTCGAGATGGGGTCTTGCTTTATTGCCCAGACTGGAGTGCAGTGGCGTGATCGTGGCTCACTGCAGCCTCCAACCCCCAGGCTCAGGCAATCCTCCCACCTTAGCCTCCTGAGCAGGTGGGACCACAGGCGCATGCCTCTATGCCTGGCTAATTTTGTATTTTTTGTAGAGATGGGGTTTCACCATGTTGCCCAGGCTGGTTGTATACTCCTTGGCTTAAGCCATCTTCCCTCCTCAGCTTCCCAAACAACTGAGATTACAGGCGTGAGCCACCGCGCCCAGCTGTTTTAGTCTTTCTTTTTCCCAAGTGATGCCGCACATCCTCCTTTTAGAGTTAATAACTTCTTTGTCAGCCATTTCCTCTCTCATTTCGCAGTGTCGTTTGCCTTCCAGAAAACAAATATAAAACCATCAGTCTTGTTTGTCCTAATTTCTATCCACAGTGTATTGCTGCATCCTTGCAGGCATACCATTTCTACTTGGTTATGATGAGAGAACAATAGGAATCTGTACTGAAGTTGATAGACAGGGTGGGAGGAAACAGTGGCACCCTTTGTTGTGTATTTTCTTTAGTAAAGTTCAGTTAGCATTTCATAAGACTTTGGGCTAGAACACAAACCCACTTCCAATGCCAATAATTTAGAAGAGTACTAAAGTAAAGGGCCAGAAATGTAGAAAACGTTTTTCTACCTATGCAGCACTGATGTAAAGATGCCTTTGAGTCGTGCTGAGATGGCCAGTGTGTCTGGGTAAAGGGATTCCCCTTTGGGCTAGAGATTCTGGCTATAGCACACGGCTGTTTGGTGAGCTGCCTCTCTTCCAAAGCTTCCTAGCCAGAAAACAATGACATCTGACAAGTGCGGTCCAGCAGCCTCCAAACCACACCATCCTGTCTCTCCCTCACTCATTTCACTGCCTGCTGGCCTCTCCCCATTACCTTCATCCACAGGGACAGGGAGGACACTCCCCCTCAACCCCCAACCTACCGCCGGCCACACAGAGCCCTGGTAGCTGGATTTAGTTTCTCTCATTGGACTGTGGATGATGGTTTTGTGAAGAGCCAAGGGCTGGGATGACATTAGAGAAGGGCACCATCATCCCTGTGAGAATGGCTCTGGTCTTTCCCCTTTCCTCTTAAACAATTGAGAAACTGCTATTTTAAGTTATGAGTGTTCAGAGAAAGCCCAGCATTGAGGGGAAGAGGAACACCCCCAAACTCCCCCTGGGTGCCCACATCAGCCCCTCTTGCCCTCCACCTGCTTCACTGTTGATGCCAGTGGCAAGAGGCCAGATGCTGGGCACCAAATGTTATTTATAGCAAGGCCCTAGCTGGATTCCATTAACATCCAAATAAGAGTCTTCCTCATTTTTCATTTAATAAAATCGCTATTTTTCTGCATGACATTTTATTTTTTCTTTGGCACCTGCCAGGCCTGCAAGCCATTTATAAAGCAGAAATACAGGCATAGAACGTGACCTGCCTGGAGAATAAGTCTGCTTGAATGAGAGTTGTCGCAATAGAGAGGTGTGTTCTGTTTGTTCTCCTGTGCATAATCCTCCTTGTTAATTACCCGTTATGTCTTCTGTCTCAGGCACTGGGCCAGGTCCTGGTGATAGATATGGATCAACAGGACACAGCTCCCATCTTCATGAAGCTTTCTACTGAGTTAGTTAGAATCCATGTACAATAAGCTGTAATGTTATCTAGAATGTGTACTCTGCCTTATACACAGTAGAGGGATACTGGGAGGGTCTCCCACACTGAGCTGCCCAGCACTGCCTCTGCTACACGACCTTGCGTGACCTCCTCTAGCTTCTAAGTCTCTCTGTTCTGAACATGCACAGATTCTGGTGAATGAGTCTCACTGTGGATGAGAAAAGACAGGCATTCAGAGCTTATCTCAGGTCCATAGCCGCATCATGTTGGAGGACCGGAAATATACTAGATTTCAGCATTTCTGAAATTGAAGAGGCTTAATTTAGCATTTCTCTTTACAGACTGGCTATAATGAGAATTTGTCCTGATTTCTGTTGCATTAAAATATCCTACTTAATTAACTGTAAAAAGGGGTGATAAAATGCTGAGTTGATGACCATTACTAGGTCTCATAGCAACTACCTACCCTCTCCCAATGTTGCCTCATATATGATGAAGAGTGTGGGCTCTGGGCTTGGACCACCTGAGCTCATCTTCTGACTCTTTCATTTCATAGCTGTGTTGTGTTGCGCAAAGGATGAAAGCTGCTGGTGCCTCAGTCTTATATGGAAATGAAGAAAATAAAGGTACCTACTCTACTGAGTTCTTATTCGGTTTACATTATTTAATATGTGCACAGTGCTTAGAATAGTACCTGGCACATATTAATACTAAACAAATGTTAGCTAGCAGCAGCAGCAGCAGCATCTTCTGTGCTATATATATATATATATATTTTTTTTTTTTCAATACTTACCAATGATGTTTCATTTATCAGAGTTGACCTGATCGGAGAACATACTGCAGGAAAACTGACTATCTGAGGTCAGGACCTGAGTGATGTGTGTCTGTTTCAGGATATGTGTTGTGTGTGTATGTTTGTGTGTGTGTGTGTGTCTGTCTGTCTGTCTATCTACCTACCTAACTACCTACCTACAAGCCAACCCACCCACCTATCTATCTCAGCTGATGTAGGAGTTTTGAGCATCCCTCTGTCTCTGCAATATTGAGAAAAGAATCTGTGTTCTCTTAACTAGGGGTGACATAAAATAAGGAATTCAGGGGAATGAAATTGATATCTTAATGAATGAGATATAGGCTGAGTATTCCTTATCCAAAATGCTTGGGACCAGAAGTATTTTGAATTTCTAATTTTTTTTTTTTTGGGATTTTGGGATGTTTACATATCCACAATGATGTTATCTCAGGGGACGGAACCCAAGTCTAAACAAGAAAACCATTTACGTTTCTGATACACTTTGTACACATAGCCTGAGGGTAATTTTCTACAATATTTTAAAGAATTTTGTGCATGTAACAAAGCTTTGACTACGTTTTGACTGTGACGCATCAAATGAGGTCCGGTGTGAAATTTTCCACTTGGGTCTTGTCGGTGCTCAGAAACCTTCAGATTTGAAGCATTTCAGATTTTGGATTTTCCGATGAGGGAGGCTTTCAGAAGGGTTGTGGCAATATATGTCACAAGGTGGTGAGGGTCTGGAATAGAATAGGAGTGGGTGGGAATGTGGTATATGAAGAAAGAAGTAGGGCATTGATGGAGAACTCATTCTTTTTCATTTAATGCAAATAAAATCCCTCTCTAGTATTCTGCATGGCATTTTTTGTTCTTTGGCATCCTCCAAGCCTGCATGCCACTTTTAAGACAGAAATAGAGTCCTTGAAATGCAGAATTCTGTCTGCTTTTGTATACAACATTGAAGATTAATGTTTGTGAGGACTAGATAGACAAGGACTAGGGGCAAAGTCACCAGCCAGGGTGTTCTTCCTCAGCAGTTGGAATCTGCACCATCACAATCGCCTTGGCTTGGATGGCTTTTCCAAGTGTGGTTAGGAGATGAGCAGAGAAGTGCATTATCCTACTGTCAGCAGGGAGCCCTGGCGTCTCGTGCCCTGGCCTTGGTGTGCTCACTCACAGACATTCCTCTTTCCTGAAGTTACTATCCAGGGATCCCACTTGACAATTGATTATGTGCTGTTTTCTGTGAAATTTCTCGAGTTTCTTTGTAATGTTGTGCATGTCTCTATGTAGCTGTTTTCCTAAATGGATGATCCTATCCCTGGAAATACCAGACCATGTCTTATACCATTTGGTATCTTCTCCCATCCTTCCTAATGCCTGTACCAGTGTCTCTATGTGTTACAGCACTGAGAAGGCAACGAACAATCCACAAAAACCAGGCTGATGAATTAAAAATCTCTTTGGTGACGCTGAATACACAGACTGTGCAGCGTGTTGGTGAAATGGAGAAGAAGTTGAAGACCTCACAAAACGGTCTTTTAATTAAGATTTTTGTATTTGTTCTCCAGCTGCCTGGAAATTCCAATAAGACAGTTTTAATTAGAACCAACGTTCACATTTCCCCCTGAGAACTATCAACATTTCGCTAACCCCAATTTTTAAGAATCAAGCTATGGAGACCATAGATAACTGACTTTGTATCTGTTTTTCCTTTTAAAAGTGGAGTTCAATGCATGTGATGGTTTTTTTTTAACCAAAACACTATCCAGCATGTGGCCTATTTTGTACACAAATGCTACCATGTGCAGCATGTAATGAGTATGCGGTCCACAGTCACTTGTGCTGGTCAGTCTTACCTTTTGCTTCATCTGGATGCCTCCGGGAGCTGGATTGTGGCACCCTTAAGCAGGGGGACTTTCCAGACTGTGTGTATTCCTCCCAAGCCCTCAAGTATCCTAAAAATCATTTCATGAATCCTCCATCAAGTCCCCATTTCTCCATTCAGATGCCCCCGATTCCTTCCCTGCTCCAGACCCTCAACACCTTGTGCATGATGAATTGTAGCAATCCTTCTGAAGGCCTTCTGAAGCCATCCTTCTGAGGCCATCCAGCCTTCACCTGACCTCTTGTGAAGTCTTGCATAATTTAGAATCTGTATCACGTAATTTATAACTCAAATTTTCACGATCCTGAAAGATGGAGTATTATTTTGTGATAGCAGGATGTGCTTCTGGCCTTCCTGCTGCCTCTTCAAAAATGCTCAGCACAAACCTAAGTTCTTGGCTACTCCAGATAGGGGGGCAGGACAGACTGCTGGAATTGTAGGGAGGCTCGTGGGAGGGGGGTTGCCTGGGCTTGCGTTCCCTGCATCCCCTGTACCACTCACACCGGTGTGGGCCCTTCTGGGCAGTCATCAATAAAGAAAGTCAAAGAAAGCCATCGCCAAGCTTCTGAAGACTTATAGGCAACAGCCTGTATAAGGGATAGTAAAAATAAGTAGACACAGCTGGCAGTCAGACGTCTGGGTTTGGAAATAATGATTCAAATCGATGCATTGAAGGTAGGAGTGCCAACTCCAGAGAACCAGGCAGGGACAGCTGGAGTGAGCCCATGCTGGCAATTCCCTGAATGCAGCAGGTGTCAGATGATGACATAATGCACACATGATTCAATAATGGATTAGGGAATACAAGGAAAAGGTGACAGAAAAGCAAGAGAGGGATCCGAGGAGTGCCGACCAGAGAGGCAGTTCATGTAGCCTCATTAGTAAAGCCCCCAGGGGCTGTGACTGTCCTGCGCGGGCTTCCAAGTCCACCTGAGAGTTCTGATGCTGTGCTGACCCCATGGCACATCAGGGGCAGCGAGCCTGCTGTCCACACTGGCTGGGAGAAGCAGCAGCCAGGCAAGAGAACAACAAACAGGGGCAGGCAGCCACCCACCAAGAGGACATGTGGAACCAGGCAGCACGCCATTTGGAAAGCAAGTCTATATGGGAGTGGTCACTATCATGGAAAGGAAAAAGAATGGGAAAACCTGAGATTTAAGAAAGACCCAATGCTGTTCTAGAAGCATCTTCAGAAAGAGCAATAAAGCTTCTTTGGGGAAGTCACAGGACACAGACTCTCCAGGGTGGAAGGGATCTTGAAGAGCACAGAGGCCAAGTCCTCATCCATCTCTCGACTTCCTTCATGACTCATCTGAAGACGGCTGGATTGGTCTATGTCTGTACCCTACCCTCACCCCACAATCCCAGTCCACCCTATCTCAGAACAATTTCAAATGCAGGGGAGGATCAGAGATGAAGATGTTACTCCAAAAGTATACATGCAAAGATGTTCTGGAAGTGCTACTTCTTAACTTGTCTGGTCTTATAGTCTGTGGTTGAAGTGAGTTTCTCCACTTCTAGAACGCTTTAGGTCTTGTTTCCTGTCCTCTTTGAAAAGTTTTATTAATAATTACGTGCTGCCCTTCTATTACTCCTACTTTCCATACCCTGGAAAGTATACACGGTTCTAGAATATTCCATTAGGAGGGCCAGGTAAGGATTCTTAAATATGAATGGATTTTATCATTCTCTGCCTGTTGTCTTCACACATTTGTTTCTTTCTTTTTTTGAGACAGAGTCTCGCTCTGTTGCCCAGGCTGGAGTGCAATGGCATGATCTTGGCTCACTACAGCCTCTGCATCCTGAGCTCAAATGATCCTCCTGCCTCAGCCTGTCAAGTAGCTGGCACTACAGGCATGCTCCACCATGCCTGGCTAATTTTTGTATTTTTTTGTAGAGACGGGGTTTTGCCATGTTGTCCAGGCTGGTCTTGAACTCCTGGACTCAAGCGATCCACCCACCTTCGCCTCCCAAAGTTCTGGGATTACAGACCTGAGCCACTGCATCTGGCCTTGTTCTCTTCACACATTTCTTAAATGGAGCTCAATCCCTGCACTCATTAATTGAAGGTCAAGGAATTATCATTATTCACTGGGATCATGGTACCAGATTGATTTACTAGCAATATTTTAGTTTTTCTTTGTGTACAAAGTCTATTCATGATATGATAAAACCTGAGACACAAATCTCAATGAATGAAGTTCTTGCTTTCGGCAAATGTATTATTATTAAATAACATCAATGCATAATAAATAACATTTTAAAATTTATAGCACCTTTTACATTTTCCCTGATGGGTCTCAAGGGACCTCACAAACACCTGTTCAATCAAAGATAACAGAAAGAGCATTATTTCTCTTTCACAAAACGAAAAAACTCTGAACCAGAGAAGGTGAGACATTTACTAATAATTCTGTTTTCAGTTTCTGTATTACTAGTTTCCACAAGAGTTCAGCAACAAGATTTCAAGGACTTTTCTTTTTAACGATCTGAAAATGAAGAATGACTCATCATACTATAGGTGCCCTGTATATGCTTCAAAATAAGTGTGTTTTTTGCTCAGTTCTTGTGCCTTCTCGGACCCTCATGACAACAATAGGAATAAACCTACGTAGAAAGTCTATCTCAGTAGTAATGATTGGGGCAACCGAATGGACTCGACTGACTCATATTTCCCACACATCTTTAAATTTATAGCTGGCCTCTGACTATTTTAGAAAGCCTATGATTTGAACTTCATCCAAGTTTTAACAGCAATAAAATTCCACAGGAAATGGGTTCTTTAGAATCCAAGAAATGCACACTTAGGCTATTGCCTACAATCAAATTATTCTGCTGTTGGAGTTGTGTTGCTGGAGAGAAGATGATCCCTTCTTCCCAGAAGAGGCCATGTTTTCCCATATCACAACATGCATAGAATTGGCACTGGTCAACACTAAACCTTCTATAAGCATGATGAGGACAACTTCTGAGCAGCATCATCAAGCTTGCCTCTCCTGGGCCACTACAACACCTGCCTCCCACCTTGACAAGCCCTGCGTCAGGCAGGCATCATCCCAATTTGGCCTTGCAAGTTGTTACACGAACATCCTTCAAGAGTGATGCCTGAAACAATCAGTTGCCTTTTTGTCTCGCAAAAAGCCTTTGCTCTCATCTCAGCTTAGAATGTCCATCCATCACAGTTAGCAGGGCTGGGCCAGCACGGACCTCCAGAATGTGCAATGAGCTTTGTAGGCAATTACCACTTTCTCCAAGGGCTCTGTAGGATGAGGGTGAAGTGAATGTCATTGGAACGGTAGCATTGTGGTCTAAAAGCTGCATTCTGCCACAGATCAACATGATGAAATGTTTAATTTAGCCTAAAATTATTTATCTGTATCACCGGCCATGCCTCAACCACATACCCCTCAATATGTAAACAACAATAGATTTATCTGTTTTATTTCTGAGAAGATAAGATAACCTGAGAATTTCTTTATAGAATTTGTAGAATGGACCCTCTCCTTGAGGCTGGTGGCTTCCCTTTCTGAAGCCAGGATGATTTTATGACTCACTGGCAGAAGCAAAATGACTCTGAGATGGTTTCTTGGTGTGGGAGGAATTGAGGCAGGGGGCAGGTGCCAAAAATTTTGCATAACCAAAATGAACGAAAACAAAATCCACATGTAGGAATGAAGGTATTAATCAGGAGGTATTAGTCTTCATGTATTAGTGAGAATTTTTAATCCTTGTAACTCAGTTTGTCCTAGAAGAGCAAGTGGACAATGGGCATGGGTTTGTGGGCTTTAATGAAGATGTGAAGGTTAGTGTTTTGGTCCATTTAGTGTTGCTATAAAGGAATACCTGAGGCTGGGGAATTTATAAAGAAGAGAGGTTTGTTTAGCTCATGGTTTGCAGGCTGTACAAGAAGCATGACACCAGCACCTGCTTCTGGGGAGGCCTCCGGGAGCTTCCACTCATGGCAGAAGCGGAAGGGGAGCCAGTGTGTGCAGAGATCACGTGGTGAGAGGGGAAGCAAGAGAGAAGGTTGGGGTGCCAGCCATTTTTTAAAAAACCAGCTCTTATGAGAACTAATAGGGTGAGAACACACACATCCCAAATCCAGGGGTTCTATTCATGGGAACTAACAGGGTGACAACTCACACAACCCAGAATCTATTCATGCCCCCATGAGCCAAACATCTCCCATTAGGCCCCGCATCGAATAATGGGGATTGAATCTCAACATGAGATTTAGAGGGGACAAACATCCAAACTATGGCACTTAGAAATATAGCATGCTCTGCAACTCACCAAGGGGTGCCAGTTTTGGGAATGTAAAGGGAGGGCAGCATGCATGCCTGAGTGGGTGGGTGGGGTCTGGGACACACTGGGCTGCAGGAAGGAGGGACAGTGACCAAAATAGGTACTTTTGTCAACTTAGCATAAATTAGCCCTGCATTTGATCCTGGGCATCCCTGGAAGATGTACCACCTGGTTGATCTATTCTGTTCTATTCTGGTTACTTCCCACCTTGCCTGTATAGGAGGCCCTTTAGACACCATCTCTCAGTAATCATGGTTTGATAATCTCACCAGCTGTGGGAAGGGTGAGGCCCCTTTTTTGCTTCTGTTAACAGTTCAATATCAGGAAATGGTCCTCCTCCAATTAAAATTTTCTTTAAAATATTAAATGAAATATTCTTTAACATATTAAACTAAATATTGGATGTGTAAAAATATTTACACTACATGAAAGGTGAAATAACAGTATGCTCAACAATAAGCTTAAAAACTAGAACATTTTCAGTAACTTTGAAGACTCCATGAGTCCTTCCTTTTCCCCAATAGACTACTATTATCATGGGCTTATATTCCTTTTACGTTTTTTATAGTATTTATAATAGGTATGTACTATATATGTGTCTGTGTGTGTATGTGTGTGTAATCAACATATAGTTTAGGTGTGCAGGCCTCAAACATCACATCAGTGGAATCACACTGTATTAATCTGTGATTTGCTTTAGTTTTTTTGTCTAACACTATGTTGCAGAGAGTCCTCCATGGAGAAGTCTACTGCCGAAGTCCACTGATTTTCACTGCCGTATGATATTCCATCGTGTGGCACGTGGAACAATCAGGATCATATTTCAACATGAGATCCCCACGTTGATGTCTCAGTCTTGGGTAGACATGGTAGGGCTGGTAGGAAGTGGTCTAATGACTTCCATTCCTCTGTTGGAACATTTGGGTTGCTTTTGGGTGTTTTGTTATTAAAAACACTGCTGCTGCTATCATTCTTTTTTGTACAGTTTCTTTGGATTCCAATCCATAAAAGCCTAGCATGGAATTGTTAGGTCATAAGTATATAACCATGTGCTTTCTCTCCCTCTCCCCCTCCCTCTCCCTCTCCCTCTCTCCACGGTCTCCTTTCCACGGTCTCCCTCTGATGCCGAGCCAAAGCTGGACGGTACTGCTGCCATCTCGGCTCACTGCAACCTCCCTGCCTGATTCTCCTGACAGCCTGCCGAGTGCGTGCGATTGCAGGCGCGCGCCGCCACGCCTGACTGGTTTTCGTTTTTTTTTGGTGGAGACGGGGTTTCGCTGTGTTGGCCGGGCTGGTCTCCAGCTCCTAATCGCGAGTGATCCGCCAGCCTCGGCCTCCCGAGGTGCCGGGATTGCAGACGGAGTCTGGTTCACTCAGTGCTCAATGTTGCCCAGGCTGGAGTGCAGTGGCGTGATCTCGGCTCGCTACAACCTCCACCTCCCAGCCGCCTGCCTTGGCCTCCCAAAGAGCCGAGATTGCAGCCTCTGCCCGGCCGCCACCCCGTCTGGGAAGTGAGGAGCGTCTCTGCTTGGCCGCCCATCGTCTGGGATGTGAGGAGCCCCTCTGCCTGGCTGCCCAGTCAGGGAAGTGAGGAGCGTCTCTGCCCGGCTGCCATCCCATCTAGGAAGTGAGGAGCGTCTCTGCCCGGCAGCCCATCGTCTGAGATGTGGGGAGCACCTCTGCCCCGCCGCCCTGTCTGGGATGTGAGGAGCGCCTCTGCTGGGCGCAACCCTGTCTGGGAGGTGAGGAGCGTCTCTGCCCGGCCGCCCCATCTGAGAAGTGAGGAAACCCTCTGCCTGGCAACCGCCCCGTCTGAGAAGTGAGGAGCCCCTCCGTCCGGCAGCCACCCCGTCTGGGAAGTGAGGAGCGTCTCCGCCCGGCAGCCGCCCCGTCCGGGAGGGAGGTGGGGGGGTCAGCCCCCCGCCTGGCCAGCCGCCCCATCCAGGAGGTGAGGGGTGCCTCTGCCCGGCCGCCCCTACTGGGAAGTGAGGACCCCTCTGCCCGGCCAGCCGCCCCGTCCGGGAGGGAGGTGGGGGGGTCAGCCCCCCGCCCGGCCAGCCGCCCCATCCGGGAGGTGAGGGGCGCTTCTGCCCGGCCGCCCCTACTGGGAAGTGAGGAGCCCCTCTGCCCGGCCACGACCCCGTCTGGGAGGTGTGCCCAGCGGCTCATTGGGGATGGGCCATGATGACAATGGCGGTTTTGTGGAATAGAAAGGCGGGAAGGGTGGGGAAAAAATTGAGAAATCGGATGGTTGCCGGGTCTGTGTGGATAGAAGTAGACATGGGAGACTTTTCATTTTGTTCTGTACTAAGAAAAATTCTTCTGCCTTGGGATCCTGTTGATCTGTGACCTTATCCCCAACCCTGTGCTCTCTGAAACATGTGTTGTGTCCACTCAGGGTTAAATGGATTAAGGGCGGTGCAAGATGTGCTTTGTTAAACAGATGCTTGAAGGCAGCATGCTCCTTAAGAGTCATCACCACTCCCTAATCTTAAGTACCCAGGGACACAAACACTGCGGAAGGCCGCAGGGTCCTCTGCCTAGGAAAACCAGAGACCTTTGTTCACTTGTTTATCTGCTGACCTTCCCTCCACTATTGTCCTATGACCCTGCCAAATCCCCCTCTGCGAGAAACACCCAAGAATGATCAATAAAAAAAAAAAAAAAAAAAAAAAACCATGTGCTTCATATGGACATTTTGGTCAATGATGGATTGCATATATACCGGTGGTTTCATAAGATGTTAATACCATATTTTACTGGACCTTTTCTATGTTTAGATATGTCTAGATATAAAAATACTTACCATTGTGTTACAGTTGTCTACAGTATTCAGTACCGTAACACGCTGCATAGGTTTGCAGCCTACGAACAATTAGGCTATCCCATTATAGCCTAGGTGTGCAGCAGGCTATACCGTCGAGGCTTGTGTAAGTACACTATATGATGTTCACACAACAACGAAATCCCTAAGGATACATTTCTCAGAATGTATCCCCAATGTTACATGATGGAAGACTGTATGGATATGATGTAAAAGTGTTTTCAAAAGGAATAGTAAATATTTATCCTTCTACTGACAATGAATGTAGGTTCAGAACTTGCACATCCTCACCTCGCCTGATACTGTCTGCTTTGTTAGTTCTGCCATTCTGGTGGGCACAAAAGGCATAAACTGTTAGTTTTAGTTGGAGTTCCAAGACTACTAAATAAGTGGAGCATTTTTTTTTCATGTTTGTTGGCCATTTGTGTCTTTTCTACATGCAGGTCAAAATCTTTTGCCCATTTTCTACTGTATTTTTTTATAATATGCAGAACTTTAAAAAATATTTAAGTTGTTTGAGAAATGGAGTGCTCATTCTACACCAGGCACTACTCTAGGTTGTGGGATACAGCAGTGAATAAAACAAAGTCCCTCTCCTCATGTATCCTAGTACAGAGAGCAAACAAACACATATAGAGTAAATAGTGTGTCAATGCTCCTATGCCTTGTAGAGAAAAACAGAGCTGGGCAGGAGAGAGGGAGTGGGACTGCTGAGCTGTAGGGTCAGGAAAAGCCTGAAGGGGTGATATTTGAGCAAAGGCCTGAACAGAGTAAGAGGGTGAGGCCTGCAGACGTCATGGGAAGAGCCATGGAGGAAGAGCAAACACAAAGGGCAGGGGACCTGAGGAAAGGCTGGAGTGTGGGTGGAGCCTGGGACAGAGACCCAGCTGAGAAGGGAGGAGAAGGATCAGGGCCTCCATCATGTGGGGTACATAGACTCTGGCTTTCATTTTGAGTGATGTGGTGGGGGCACTACAGGGGTTTGAGTAGGGGAGTGACAGGAGGCTTCTGTCTCAAGGACTGTTCTGTGTTGAGAACAGACTGCAGGGAGGTAAGGAAAGAAGAATGGAGAACGCTTGGGAGGCTAACCTTGTGACACAAGGGAGAGAATGATGTCTTCGTCTTGGGGGGACATGGTGGGGCTGGTGAGAAGTGGTCAGTTTCTACATATGTTCTGGAAGTACAGTCAAAAGGGGTCCCTGCTGGCTTGGCTAGGGGCATGAGGGAAAGACAGGCATCAGAAATAATGCTGAGGCTGGATGCAGTGGCTCACACCTATAATCCCAGCATTCAGGGAGGGTGAGGCGGGAGGATCGCTTGAGTCCAGGAGTTGAGGCCAGCCTGTGTAACATAGCAAGACCCCATCTCTACCAAAAAAACAAAAAGAAAAAGAAAAAGAAAAAAAGAAGAAATAATGCTGAGATTTTTGGCCTGTGCAACTGCAAGAATGGTGCTGCTGTAATTCAAGGTGGGGAGGATTGTGAGAGGAATAGAACATGAAGGGTTTGATTTTTCACATGTTATATTTGAGATGTCTACTTGCTATTCGAGGGCAGGTGTTGAACAGGCTGTTGGTTATAGGTCTTGGAATTCATGAAAGAGGTCCAGGCTGAGGGCATGCATCTGGGGGTCATCATCAGGGAGACATGAGACAGGAGGGGCTCACCTAGCGAGCAAGCGTAGACACTGCAGAGGAGAGGACAAAGGACTGAGCGTGGGGCCCTGGACTGTTCAGAGTTCAGGGAGGCCGGAGGAACCAGTAAAGCAGCCTGAGAAGGAACAGCCAGAGAGGAAGGGAGATGACACAAAAAGTTCAGTGTCCCAGGTAAACAATAAGGAGGGTTCAAGTGTTAGCTTAGGTAAAAGGAATACTGGCCAGGTATGGAGGAGCATGCCTGTAGTCCTGGCTACTCAGGAGGCTGATGTGGGAGGATCACTTGAGCCCAGGAGTTTGAAGCCAACCTGTGCAACACAGAAAGACCCCATCTCTACAAAAAATTTAGAAATTAGCAGGCATGATGGTGTGTGCCTGCAGTCCTAGCTACTCAGGAAGCTGATGTTGGAGGATCATTTCCGCCCCAGAGTTTGAGGCTGTAGTAATGATGGAGCTATGATCATGCCACTCCACTCCAGCATGGGTAACAGAGCAAGATCCTCTATCAACGAGATGAAAAAATAAAAACAAAAATTAACAGTAAGATGACAACTAAGAATGGTCACTGGATTTGGCAACATATGACTCTGATAAGAGCTCATCCATAGTGGTGTAGGTTTAAGAGAGAAAGGGAGACAGAGTACAGACTACTCTTCCGGTAAGTTTTGCTGGATTCAGAGAGATAAATAAGGTGGCACCTGGCCAGGTGTACTTTTTAAATTCTTAGAGCTATCATATTATAATGAGCGATGAACATGATCCAGCAGAAGGTGGGAACAACTGCTGGAGTGAGGTCCTTGAACAGACACCAAGTGGAAGGTTCCTTGTGCACACCTGGTGGGTTAGTCTCAGGGTGTGGTGAATGGTATTTGGATATTAATCCTTTTCAGTTATTTGTATTGCTAATATTTCTGTATTGCTAACATTTCCTCCCAATTTATGGCATTTTTTGTTGTTGTTGTTAAGACAGAGTTTTGCTCTGTCGCCCAGGCTGGAGTGTAGTGGTGTGATCTTGGCTCACTGCAACCTCTGCCTCCTGGGTTCAAGTGATTCTCCTGCCTCAGCCTCCTGAGTAGCTGGGATTACAGGTGCCTGCCACTATGCCTGGCTAATTTTTGTATTTTTAGTAGAGACAGGGCTTCACCATGTTGGCCAGGCTGGTCTCGAACTCCTGACCTCAGGTCATCTGCCCGCCTCGGCCTCCCAAATTGCTGGATTACAAGCGTGAGCCACCATGCTGGGCCAGCATCTGGACTCTTAAAAGCTCCCCTGGTGATTCTAATGTCAGCCAGCCTTGAGCACAAGTGTCCTAGCTTTCTCGTGGGTGACACTAGTAAATCTCAAGTGTTGGCTGTCTCTAAGTGCTGCTTCTAGGATGTCACCCTGCCCCAGTGGTTCTTAAACTTCAACTGCATTAGAATTACCCAGAGGATTGGGCCTCATCCCCAGAGTTTCTGTTTCAGGTCTGGGGTGGGACCTGAGACCACAATTCCAGCAAGCTCCTGGGTGGTACTCATGTTCTTGCTCCAGGGATCACATTTTGAGAACCTCCCAGCCTTAAATCAAGGCTCAAAATGCTGTTGCATACTCTCCCGAGTCAACAAAGCCCATAAATATAGACGCAAGCAAGATGAATTTTACCTAAGATTTCACAAGGGAGGTGGAACAGAGGGTTTATTTTGCATACTAAATAATAATTTTAATAAGAGTTAAAATTCTCATCAGAAATTCCTGTACTCCTTTAACATTCTTTTAGCTCTCTTTAAAATTTTTGTTCTTTTAAAATTCATATCTCTTTTAAGTTCCCCATCCTAAATAGAACCTAAATATGCCTTAACTCCTAGTCCCCAACTCCCAGATTTTTCTCATCATGCTTCTGTTAGTCTCTCCCTTTCTCAAACAGAGCTTCTCAGTTTTGGCCCCTGCAGGTAGCACCCGGACCAGGATTAGCAGGATCAGTCATCTGAGGTACATAGCAACTCCTTTTTTTTCACCAGCAGTCTTGTATGTGACTTATGTGTGTGATCCCATCAGCAGGGTACCCATATGCAAAGCCACATGATCACTGGCATATCTGCTCCGGATACAAACTGTAGCCCAGAACTGTGGCAACCTGGGAATGTAAGCAGCTTGCTCTTGTTCCAAGGCCAAGTCCATTAGTCAAAGGGCTGTTTGCCTAATAGAGACTCAGCTCTGTGTTAGAATACAAACAGTCCTGTTTTCCCAAAGCTAGCTGAATTCCAATAACCCGCACCTTGGGGCTGGAAAGGAGAAGTGGGGAACAGAGCCTGTGACTTGGTGGTGCAGAGGGTCTCACCACCTGCCCTCAGACCACAACCGGAACCGCATTCTGTACCAGTGCCTGAAGCTGTTGCAGCTTGCAGCTTACCTGCAGGATCCAGGCTGATAGTATGGGCACCAGAGAGGCTTCATTTGGCATACTCAGGTCCTAATTCTGCCAAAGTCAAATGCCAGCGGCCCTCCGGAGGACCAGGAAGGGAGTAATAAAAACAGCTTACCTAGAAGGAAGTGGAACTGTTTCTTTCTCCTGTAAGAAGAGCCAGATCCTAAAGCAGCCACTGCAACCACCACTCCCAGGACAGACACCACCATTCCTGAGTGCCAACCACATGCCAGGCACTGGAGAGGGCTTTCATTAATGCATGTATTCTCAAAGTATTTCTTATAGTCATATCAAACAAGCTTGTTACATCAGTCTATTAACCCTATCTCACAGGTGAGAAAACAGAGGCTCACAAGAAGAAATATCTCGCCTAAATGCACAGCAAGCAAGTCAGTGCCACAGCAGGGCTCTCCCCCTGCTAGTCCAACGTTATCCTTCTCACTGATAATTACTAGCACATTGCTTCACACTCTTTCTCCCTTTCCTAAAGTAACTCCCTCCCCTTTGTAGCACATTATAGAATGCCTTGAAAGTTGAGGTTTTCTTAGTCATCACTTTACCCTCCAGCATTTAATATGGAGCATGGCACATTGTAAGTGCTCAGTAAATATTTGTTGAGATGAACACCAACAGCTTCCTACCCAACCAGGCAACTGTCCTGGGGTGAGCCTTAGAGGCTGGGGAGATGTCAATACTGTGGAGATAGAAAGGTGAAGGATTTCTCATCTGCAAACCCAAGTTTGAGTCTCTGCCCTGCTGTTCACTGGCTGTACGACACTAGTTAAGCCCTTTCATTTTTCTCACTCACCTTATCCATGCATATCCTTAGCGGGTGCAATAGTGTTTCTAAATAATAACACCTCACTCCTACCAGCATGATCACTATGGGAATCCCAGGCTTGTCACACCGCTTTTGTCAGAGGCATTTGAACAAGAGTGACTCCATTTTGAATAGAGTGTGGGTAAAATGAGACCTGCTGGGCTGCATCCCCAGGAGGTTAGGCATTCTTAGTCACAGGATGAGATAGGCACAAGATACAGGTCACAAAGACCCTGCTGATAAAACAGGATGTAATAAAGAAGCCGGCCAAAACCCGCCAAAACCAAGATGGTGACAAAAGTGACAGCTGATCATCCTCACTGCTCATTATACACTAATTATAAGTCATTAGCATGCCAAAAGACACTCCCACCAGCACCATTACCATTTACAAATGCCACGGCAACATCCAGAAGTTATTCTATATGGATATAGGATAACTATATCAGTTATAGATCCAGGAATTCCCTCAGTTCCAGGAATTCCCTGCCCCTTTCCCAGAAAACTCAAATAAACCACCCCTTGTTTACCATATGATCAAGAAACAACCAGCAGCCCTTAGGGCTTCTCTGCCTATGGAGTGGCCGTTCTTTTATTCCTTTACTTTCTTAATAAACTTGCTTTCACTTTATTCTGTAAACTCACCTCTAATTCTTTCTTGCATGAGATCCAAGAACCCTTTCTTGGGGTCTGGATCAGGACTCCTTTCTGGTAACACTTTCTCGGGAGGTAGCCTGGATGGGTTGCCACCAACAAGCCCCACTTAGCATTGTGTTAGCCAAAATTTTACTTAATACAATTATTTTCATTTTTAAGGGAAAAAGAATTTCGGTCCTTAAACTCTTCCATTTTTCTAGGTTTGGCTTCATGTGAAGCAGAAAACATAAGTTGCTCATACCTGTTTTGATGTTTAACTATTTCCCTCTCATGGGAACTCTGTGTATACTTGGAGGTTACAATCGAGGGAGGCGAACACAGGAAGTCCGTGCAGTAAAGTGTCTTGTTCTTGCTGTTGGGTAACTTTGGTGGAGGAAATGGAGGGAGACGTGAGGCACTTATGTATGCGGAGTTTCTCCCGGTGCCATGTGCTTAATCAGGAAATGACTCACCTGAGCCTCATACTAACCTGACTACATTAAGATCGTTTGTTATCCCCCTTCTATAGATGAAAAAGATGAGGCTCTGCAAAGTTAAGCAGGCTGTCCATAGTATTAAGATAACTGAATTTCATATCCCAAGTCCTGACCCCAGAATGTTACCCCTCAGCCTAGGCTAGTCTTACCGTTCAAAACTCAAAGAAGGAGGACCCAGTATGGAAGACCATGATCTCCGTCCAGAGGGCTCTCTGGGATCCTGAGCAGAACTCATATAGAGAAACCCCAAGCTCCCCAGGTGACTTCTGCCTTAATTCCAGATGGCCATCGCTGAATTCTTTTCTGAACTACAATGTGAAATTTCACTTCTTTGGTCTAAACAAGTAGTTTTTTCTCTTTTTTTTAAGTGAGAACATAATGAAGTAGAAGAGAAGGGCATATTTTTGCTTTTGGGTCCATATGGCAGCCTTTCACGAAGTGCAGAATGTCTAGAGGCTGAGCCTTGGGATCAGCATTTAACCAGCTTCCTGGGTGATTCTTCTACACACTAAACCCTGAAAACTGTTTTGAGACATAGTAACCAGTACTAAGGAGTGTGATGTACAGAAAAGAGAATATTCACTTATCATGCCAACTGATTTCAAGTAGATGGAAGCTTCAAAAGATTTAAAAACCTATTCATTTTTTTTGCCGTAGAAGTTAAACACCCTTTCCCCACCTGTCCTACCCTATCCATTTGCTTAGCAAACTTCTTGTTCAGGAGTAGCTCAGAAAACTACGAGGGGCAGTTTAATCTCTATCAAAATTAACTCTTAATGAAAGGGGTCTGAATGAATTTGATTTTATTATATTGAAGCTGTGATTATACTCTTTAAGGAAGAGCATCAAAACAAAGATATCACTGAATATAGTGATATCTATAGCTCATGGATCTATAGATATAGTGATATCTGTAGATAGGCAACCACCAGAAAACAAAAACAGTCCACTAGAGAAATTACCCTGTCCCTGCCTAAACAATGGTGTGAGTGTAAATCAGGAGATAAATTATTATTATTATTATTATCATTATTATTATTTGAGATGGAGTCTCGCTTTGTCACCCAGGCCGGAGTGCAGCGGCACGATCTCCGCTCACTGCAACCTCTGCCTCCTGGGTTCAAGCAATTTTCCTGTCTCAGCCTCCCGAGTAGCTGGGACTACAGGTACGCACACCACCATGCCTGGCTAATAAGATGGCTTCTTTATGTTTGAGCAACCCTGCCCCAGAGGAACTGGAGGACCCCTCAGGCTGCATCTGGAGAAGCATCCTGGAACTTTCTACTTAGCAGCTCAGTTATGTGTGTGGCCGTCTGGATTGAATAAAAACCCTATTTCTTTCTTATTATTGTTGATTTCAATTAGCTAATGGGAGGTGGGAAGCTGTTAGCTTGCTGTCAAATGATAGTGATAGGTTTTCGTTTAAGGCTTATGCAATATACTGGAGGAAGAAGTAGAATGTACGAATAGAAGGTCTTTTAAAGTGAAGATTTAACACAATAGGAATAAGAATCTTCCAGGGAGAAGGAGTTTTAGAGGTCATCTTGTCCAACAGGAAAATGCTACAGATCTCTATTTTTTGGTTTGAAGGTCTGAAGACAGCTATTAGGCTCTCCCAAAGTCTTACTTCATCCAGGATTAATATTCCCACTGCTCTCAACCATTCTTCATAAGAAGTGGTTTTTACTCTCCCCTTTCCCCGAATACCCCATATACCTTCCTCTGGATTCAATAACTTATCAACACCTTTCTAAGAGGGTGGAGCTCAGAACAGGACATACTATTCCAAGTGTTTGCATCAGTGTAGAACACAGCATGACTTTTATTTCCACTAGTTGGATGGTGTACCTTAATTAACCCAGACAGAATGACATTAGCTTCTTTTGTTGTTATCTGATACTGTTGGCTTGTACTGACCCAGACATGATCTGAAACTGAAATGCCTTTGCAAAACTAGGACAGTAAGAGAAATCTGAGAGAAATCTGACATAGCTGACTCCATCTTGCTTCTAACCTCACAACCTCTTGCTCATTCCTGGGCATAGGCCAAGATAGCTATGGGAAGAATTTAGTTTATAGTTTAACCTTAAAGCAAGGATGATAATAGCCTCTTTCCAAAACTATTCGCTCCTTGTTCAGGATGGAACTGCCTTTGTAAAACTAATGAAAGGTCACAAGATTAGAATTATGGGAGGGGCCTGAATTCCACTAAGACCTAGGCATAGTTAAATGATAACTAGTCATTGTTTACTGCTCAGGAGTCATGTAGGGATAGTCACAATATTTGTAACTTCTCTAATTGCTCCCACAGGTAATATCATTATCGTAAAACCTAAGATTGGTGTTTGAGGTATTTTTCAGACTTTTCCAATTTGTTCACTGAGGGAGTCCACCTGGACCTGTGACTCATATTGAGGAACTAATTCAACCAGTCCTGTGAACTCCCGCCCAGGAACTGACTCAGTGCAAGAAGACAGCTTTGACCCCCCATTATGATTTCATCCTTAACTCAACAAATCAGCATTCCCCATTCCCTAAACCCTTGCCCACCAAACTATTCTTGAAGATAGCCTCCAAGCTTTCGGGGAGGCTGACTTGAGTAATTAACTCCCCTTCTTCCACTTGGTGAACCATATGATTATTAAACACTTTCTCTACTGCAATACCACCATCTCAGTGAATTGGCTTTATCTGTACAGTGGGCAAGAACTGCAGGCGATTACACTGTCAGGTGATTACAAAACCAAGGGTTTCCTGTAAGCACTACAGACAAGCCACAGGTCCAACCTACACTGGACATTTATACTTAAATAGGTAATGCATATACCTATCAAATGCAATTACCTATAAAAGGAATGCTTGTTAAATCTCCCCTTCCTGGCTTAGGCTGATCATTTCAACCTTGTCAATATGTTTTTAAATCTCAATACGGCCATCCACTGTATTAGCTATTAGTTTTGCTTGATTTTATGTAACCATTTGATTTTTAAAATGCATCCTCTTTCTTGAACGCACTTTTACAACTTTCTTATTGCAGTCTCTGTAGTTACGAAGTTGTATAGAAAAGCAAAATTCACCCTAACATAAAATTATTCCCTAATGAACCAGCTATAATGCAATATAGAAGTACTTCCAACTCAAATATCTTTCCCTTTTCAACACTGGCATCTATGTCCATCCTTTGATTCAAATCCTTGTCCATCTTCTTTTGCTGTGTGCAAATACATGGCAATTTGTTACAAAGCAAATGGCAAATCTTAAAAAGACAAAATCAAATCAGTAATCTATGGCAGTGATGTTAAGAGAACAACTCAAATCATACAAAAAAACCACTGACCAACTAGAAACAGCAGATTTAGGAGAATTAACAACTAAAGAAGAGAAATTCAACAAGGATAATAACTTCAAAGAGGGTTTAAAAGAGAATGACTTGAATATTAAAGGATTTAGAGGAGACTGGAAAAATTGACAAAGTACTTGAATATTTATGTAAAAATCATTTTCTTCAGGATCATGGAGTAAAAGTCAAGCATAAGGTGACAGACAATATGTTGCACTATTATAGTTTGGTCATAAAATTATATCCCCAACCTACTTATCTCAGTTTAAAAAATTAACCTCATTAAAGTATAATTTACATACAATAAAATGCACCCGTTTTAAGTTGTAAGTATCCATGTGTTTTGATAAATTTTTATTACCATGAAACTATTATTGTATCAACTGAAGAGTGACAAGGTTCATAAATTTAGAAAGGAGAGCTTTCTCATAAACAGTTGCAGCCTGAAGCGTGGCCACTGGGACAGGCTGAGAAGCGTAGCCTCTGGCCAGGAAGCTGGGAGCAAGCACTTCAAGGGTCAGAAGAATAAGACAGGGATTTATGCTGGATGGGGTGGCCAAATATACATATTCAATAAGCAATAGGAGCAGTCACGAATATTTACAAAAGGAGAAACGTGCACATGCACAATTGAGCTTCATGCTCCTTTGTGGGTCCCATGTTAGACAAATGGTGGCATTAGCATAATCTGATGGTGGAGTTTTTGGTTCTCTGACATCAAAAGGTGAAGCAGAGGATACAAAAACCCTCATGCACATCATTCATAGACTGGCCAGAACCACTCCGTGGTCAGTGAAGGAATGCTGGTTGGTTGTTTTGTCAAACCACAAAAGAGAGGAGGAGTCATGAGGCTGTGAAATCACTGATGAAGTCTTTTGAAAGGGCTGGTTTCTGGCAAGCCCTTAGGCAAAAGAGCCTAACGACAGTTAGCAAAGGAGAGGATATAAGGAGGTTTGTCCTACCATCCCATCATAGCTGAAAATTCAGCTTCCAAGCTTCTTCTGGGGTCCTCTTGGCCAAGAGGAGGTCTGTTCAATCATTCAGGGGAGCTTCGAATTTTATTTCTATTTCTCAGCCACAGTCAAGATATAGAATATTTCCATCACTCCCAAAATTTACTTAATTCACTTTTTATTAATTCTAATAATTCATCATTGCATTGGTAAACTATATTTTGAAAATGCTTTTCACCATTTTTAGATTCATTTTTCAAAAGTTCCAATCAAATGTTTTTTCCACTCTTATGACATTAAAATTATGAATAGACTTTATTTTTCAGAGCAGTTTTAGGTTTACAGAAAAAATGAGCAGAAACTAGAGGGAGTTCTCATATACTCCCTCCTCCCCATTATTAATATCTTGCATTGATGTACATTTGTTATGATTGATGAACCAGTCATGATTTTTTATTATTAACTAAAGCCTGTAGTTTAAATTAGGGCTTACTCTTTGTGTTGTACAGTTTTGGATTTGTAGGGTTTTTGGTTTGTTTTTGTTTTAAATAAATGCATAATGTTATGTATCTACCATTACAGTATCATACAGAATTATTTCACTGCTCTAAGTGTTTTAATCCCCCAAGCTCCACTGATTCATCCCTTCATCCCCAACCCTTCCAGGGTTCAAATCATCACTGATTTTTATTGTCTTTATAATTTTGCCTTTTGCAGAATGTTACATAGCTGGAATCAAACAGTCTATAGCCTTTTCAGACTGGCTTCTTTCACTTAGTAATATGCATTTAAGGTTGTTCAATGTCTTCCAAGGGACATCTTGGTTCTTCCAATTTTTGGCAATTATGAATAAAGCTGCTATAAATATCTGTGTGCAGGTTTTTGTGTGGATATAAGTTTTCAGCTCATTTGGGTAAACACCAAAAAGCACAATTGCTGGATCTTTTATACAGGTATGTTTAGTTCTGTAAGAAAACACCAAGCTGTTTTCTAAAGTGGCTGTGCTATTTTGCATTTCCCCAGCAATGAATAAGAAGAGTTCCTATTGCTCCACATTCTCAGCAATATTTGGTGTTGTCAGTGTTCTAGATCTTGGCTATTTTAATAGGTGTGTAGTGGTATCTCATTGTTGTTTTAAACTGCAATTCTCTGATGACATGACATTATTTTTTCATATACTAATTTGCTGTCTGTATATCATCTTTGGTGAGGTATCTTTTTTGATCTTTTGCCTACTTTTGAGTTGGGTTTTCATGTAGTTTAGTTTTAAGGGTTCTCTGTACGTTTTAGATATCAGTCTTTCATCAGATGTTTTGTAAATATTTTCTCCCAGTTGGTGGCTAATTTTTTGATGTTCTTAACAATCTCTTTCACAGAGCAGACATTTTTAATTAACAATGACATTTAAAAATAAATTACGCAAAACAAATTATCTTGTAATAACAAAGACCTTGGTCATATCTGTACAACTTAGTTACTAACAAAAGTACTAAATAAGTCAGGATCAGTGGTGAACATCTGGATGTCTCCCTCCAGATTGGCAATGATGAACTAAAACATGTTGACAAAGATTTCTCAGCTGATTTGGCATATTTTTATAAAGAAATTATGCTTGCTTCTAGCAACACCTTTGTTTATTAAGTGCTTACAAACTGGTTAATAATTTATTCGTGAACTTTACAGAGAGTGAGTGGTATGCCTGTTTGGTTAAGAGAATTTTTTCTCACCATTTAGAAAACTGAGAAATGATCTTCCAAAATAATTCCTTTTCTTTATAGTATCTTTTACAATCCTGTTTGCAAGCCTTTTTATTACCCTGGGATAGAATTAACTTGGGCCTAAAGACTTGAAGATTTTTTAAAGTGGCTAAGTGTGTTTATATCTTGTCTCCTTTCTTAGATTTTACCTCCTTCTTCATAACGTTTGTGCTTCATTGTCCTTACCCTATTTAAAGATTATTATTCTTGGATGGGAGAAGATGGTGACATTTCTCTCCGATGGTTTGACACCAAAAAAGTAAAACCCACATCTGCACCATTGGTGACCTCTGGAAAGAAGAGGCCCAATGCCTGGTGGGAGCCTTCTTGGTTGACTTGTTAGGTCTGATGTAACTGCTTGAGGCTGAAATGAGTTCCAGATGGGTTGGGTTTTGAGAATAGAGAAGAGTGTGAACACTACTAAGGATATAGAAAGCCAGTGCATAGGGAAGTTTTGAAGAAGCCAAAGGCATAAAAAAATGAACCAGCCCACAGACAAGCCAAATATGGCACTCTTAGATCATTAAGCCAAAGGAAAACCAAGGCCAGTCTTCATGGAAGTCAATGAATCCAGAGAGTCACAAGCGAGAGAATAATTTTTCCCACATGGGAGGGCAGCCTTTGCCTGGTTTTGGACATGGATGAAGTTCAGAGTCCCAAGTACAAGCAGGACTTAAAGGATCCCCATGTGAGAGGCAGTAGGGTCATAATAGGGAAGTGGTTCTCCTTTCTGTCTGTCACCAGCTAGCATCCTGCCATCTCACTCTACCCCTCACAGTGACATTGACCTTCCTTGTTATATACTCCCTCACAATGACTGAAAAAAAATGTCCTTGCCCTTGACATTGTTCAAGGCTTATTTCATCTGGAGGCTGCTCTTGACCTTATTTGGCATTCAGCCTTGGGTATGTGCCTCTCTGTCCATTTTCTATACATGCTTTTAAAAACTGAGCTCATCAGAGAACACCCTGGATGGTCATACTGACGCTCTTGGTTCTTATTTTTTTGGAACTGCCCCCACTCTTTCTAGTTGTTGCTGTTTTTTTTAAATTATATACTTCTTTTTGACAACATAATGCATTTAACCATTTGCCCTCTTCCCATCCTACTAACAGGAAACCACTGTTTTTAGTTTTCTTGTTTATCCTTCTAGAGGTTTTAAATGAATATTCAAGCCATACAAATATCTATTCTCCTTTTTTTTTTTAAATTCAAATGGTTGCTTTTTCACTGAACAATATTTCTTAGAGATCTTTCCTTATTGCATAAACACTAGCCCTTTTATTTACAGGTGAACAGCATTCTGTTTTTTTTTTAATTATTATTATTTTTTTTGAGATGAAGTTTTTTTGCTCTTGTTGCCCAGGCTGGAGTGCGGTGGCGCCATTTTGGCTTACTGCAACCTCTGCCTCCCGGGTTCAAGTGATCCTCCTGCCTCAGCCTCCTGAGTAGCTGGGATTACAGGTGTGCCCCACTATGCCCAGTTAATTTTTGTATTTTTAGTAGAGACAGGGTTTCATCATATTGGCCAGGCTGGTCTCGAACTCCTGACCTCAGGTGATCCACCCGCCTTGGCCTCCCAAAGTGCTGGGATTACAGGCGTGAGCCACTGCGCCTGGCCAGCTGAACAGCATTCTACCAAAGGTTGTATACCACAATCTCTTTAGCCAGTTCCTGATTGTTGAATATTTTAGGTTGTTTCTAATCTTTAGCTAATTACAAACAATGCTGTAATGATATCATGTTCAAACTTTATCGTCCATGCTTGCTTGTACATCCTCTAATGTAAATTCCTAGGAGTAAAGCTACCAGGTCAAAGCAGATATGCCTTTGTGATTTTGATGGGTACTGTTATAAAAATTACTCCACATAAGGTTTATCAGTGTCGTGAGTACTGCCTTGGCAATGTATTAAGTACTTGTTTTCTTTCAGCTTTGCTAACATGGCATATTATCAAGTCTCCTTTTTAAAATTTATTTGTTAATTTGACAGATAAAAATATGTTTTAATTCACATTTCTCTCGTAAGAGTGAAAGTAAGCATCTTTTCATATGTATTTGAGTCATTTCAATGTCCTTTCCTATGCAGTATCTGTTTATATCCTTTGTTCATTTCTCTATTGAGTTGTTGATTGTTAACAGAGATTAGCCCTTTGTTTATCATATGCGTTACACATATTTTTTCTAGTTTGCTAATTTGGATTCTTACTTTGCTGATGGTGATTTCGTTATTATTTTTTATTTTTATTTTTTGCCAAGCAGTAGTCTTTAAGCATTTTTAAAAAATATAGTTTAGGGCCAAGCATGGTAGCTCACGCCTATAATCCCAGCACTTTGGAAGGCTGAGGTGGGCGAATCACTTGAGGCCAGGAGTTTGAGACCAGCCTGACCAACACGGTGAAACACCGTCTCTACTAAAAATACAAAAATTAGCCAGGCGTAGTGGTGTGGGCCTATAATCCCAACTACTTTGGAGGCTGAGGCAGGAGAATCACTTGAATCTGGGACGCAGAGGTTTCAGTGAGCTGAGATCATGCCATCGCACTCCAGCTTGGGAGACAGAGAGACTCTGTCTCAAAAAAAAAAAGTAGTTTAATTTACAATCAATCTTTTCTTTGATAACTTCTAAACTTTGTACCACAGTGAGACAAGTCATAAAATAATTGCTCCATGTCTTTATCTAGTATTGGTAAGATTTCAGGTTTTACACCTAAATTCCATTTGGAATTTATCTAGGCTTACAGTAGGAGGTATGATCAAATTATTTTTTTTCTAGGTGGTTTCTTAGTTGCCCCAGTATTACTTACTAAGTAATGTATCTTTCCTTCACTTATACAAGATTATTATGTACTAAAGTTCTTTCTGTATTTAGGTCTATTTCAGGACATTTGTCTGAACATGTACCAGTACCACATTGCTTTAATTACTGAGGCTTCAGAGTATATTTTAACCTGTAGAACAGCTAGTTCTCCCTATTGCTCTTCTTTTCCAGAGTATTCTTGTCCATTTCCTAAAACAAACATTTGGACATTTTAATTGGGATAACACTCAGTTTATAAATTAACATAGGAAGGATGGACATTTTTATGTTGTTGATTCTTGAGAGAGTTTTAAAGCTTTCTTTATGCAGTTCTATAAATTTTTATTACATTTACTACCAGGGATTTAAAAGTGTGTGTGTGTGTTTTTTTTTTTTTTTTTGGTTTAGTTTGTAAATGGGCTCTTTTCTTCTATATATATAGTTTCTACCTGGCTGTTGTTCCCATCATTACCCTATCGGGCGAAAGGGTCAAACTCAAATGATCTCCTAATTGAAAATCATACATCCACTCACCATGCACTTTCCTTTCATAAACTTTAGGATGCCATGGTTACTTTCCCTTTTGTCCCTGTAACCTTCACTCACTAAGCAGTCTTTCCTTGTTGGTCAAACCAGTCCTTGCTATTTCCTTTACCTCTTGAGCAATGAAATCATCCTAAAGGAGGTCAGAAATTTATTAGAGGACCAAAGTCTAGTTTAATGAGGCATCCAGCATTGGTCAAGATGTCGAAATACTCCACTACTCTTAGTTGTTCCTTTCAGACTTTGTTGGCATTGTCATCTGTTCCAAGCAGGAGGCACCTCAAGCCTTCATTTGCTAGGGGATTGCTATGGTTTCATTTGTTTGGCCCCTCCAAATCTCATGTTGAAATCTGATCCCCAGTGCTGGAGGTGGGGCCTAATGGGAGGTCTTTGTATCACAGGGGCAAATCCCTCCTGAATGGCTTGGTGCAGTCTTTGCAGTAATGAGTGAGTTCTCACTCTATTAGCTCCTGTGGCAGCCAATTGTTAAAAAGAGTGTGGTGCCCCCTCCTCTCTCTTTTTGCTTCTTGTCATATAATCTCTGCTTCACCTTCCATCATGAGTGGAAGCAGTCTGAGGTTCTTACTAGATGCAAACGCTGGCACCATGCTTCTTGTATATCCTGCAAAATGATGAATCAAAGGAACTTCTTTTTTTTTTTTTTTTTTTGAGACGGAGTCTCGCTCTGTCGCCCAGGCTGGAGTGCAGTGGCGGGATCTCGGCTCACTGCAAGCTCCGCCTCCCGGGTTCACGCCATTCTCCTGCCTCAGCCTCCCAAGTAGCTGGGACTACAGGCGCCCGCCACTACGCCCGGCTAATTTTTTGTATTTTTAGTAGAGACGGGGTTTCACCGTTTTAGCCGGGATGGTCTCGATCTCCTGACCTCGTGATCCGCCCGCCTCGGCCTCCCAAAGTGCTGGGATTACAGGCGTGAGCCACCGCGCCCGGCCCAAGGAACTTCTTTTCTTTGTAAGTGACCCAGCCTCAGGTATTCCTTTATAGCAACACAAACAGGCGAAGACAGGGGCCATTGCCCCACTCCATTTAGCCTCCTCTTTGCCTTTGCTTTGTCCTAAACAAATTACTGTTTTCTAACTATCATAGTCACCAGTGTCCACATATTGTATCTCTTTTTAGCTCACAGTTCCATCTATCTCTTATTTTATTTTGAATAAATAGTATCTTCAAAAATGTGCTTCTTAGAATGCTGGCACAGGTGTTATATTCAGTGGAAAAGAAGGTCTACTACAGGGCCTATAATTTCCTTCTTCTCCCATATATATTTCTAGCTTTTTTCCTAGTTTGGTAAAATATGCTGGGAGACACGGCATACTGTATACTCCCTCGGAGGGTTCCGGTACATATTAGCACTTTAAAGAGTAAGGAGTTCTGCAGTCAAAAACTATACATTCCACAAACTGCTTTGACCACAGAAGCCTAATTAACATGGTGCATTACTAACATTGTGTGGAACACACTTCGGGGGATGCAGCCTCAGGGCTAGACGCACAGAGGTCTGTCTGAGTTATTATGCCCCAGATACCTGTGCTGTCAATCATCTACTTGGGCTAAAGTGTCAAGTTCACCCATGAACGATAATGGTGAGAGACCATTTGAATTCAAACTGGCTTTTACCCTTAGGATGACTACATAATTTTGGGGACCCAATTTTACTTGCAACAAAATAAAAACGCAGGGCCCTGGCCAGGGGTGGGGCAGTCAATCTCACTTTCCCATAGGACCCCTGCCCCAACCCACAGCAGACCAGTGACCACCCCTCTCCTCCAGATGTACTTGGTACTTGGATGAAGGTGGGCAAGAAACCCTCACCGACATGCCCACCAAATGTGCCACAAGAGGTGGCATAAGGAATCTGTTCAGACCCATGGGATAAGGGGGAGGTTCCTCTCCTGCCTGAGGGTTCACACACAGCCCGGCCTCCTTTAGGCAAGGCCATGAAGAATTCCTCTTTCTCACTAGGGAGGATGGAAGCTTCCGTATGGGATAGAGGAAAAACCTGTGAAAGAAGCTAGATATGTGTAAAGGGGTAGAGAGAACTTGAGCAGAAGAATATGACAGTATACACGCCTGGAGGTGGTGATAAGGATGAGACCATTCATGCAAGGTGAGGGTCCTACTGAGTGGGTAGGATACAATTGCCTCACTCCTAGCTCCAGCCCTGCCACTCCCAGGAGGATATTGTGTTTTCCATTTACGATTAGTTAGCGAATCCCTGCAGAGATTCAGGAAATCCTGACTTACTCGCTGGCCAGTGGGTTGCTTCCTGGGGTGCATTCCCTAAGATTCACCCAGAGCACCTGCAAAATCTACTCCCTCTGGATTTGCTGTACAAGCAAGGGATTCCAACAGAAGAAACCTGGAGGATCCCTCACACGTATCTGAAGGTTTCCCTGGTGGCTGCACAGGTGAGGTTTTCACCTGGCCTTCACTCTGAGTAGGGGTCTATGACTCTGGAAGGGCAGGGAGTGTGGGAAGACACCTTGGTCACCTAAGTGGCAACAAGGAACAGAGTTTGATTTCTGGGCTGTGACATGGTGCTTCTGGCAGGAACAGATTTGTATCTTGGGGCTTAGCCTCTGATCAAGAGGATCTGAAATAAGCCTGGGAAAAATCTGAGTGCTTTTTGAATATAGCCAGAACAGCTCCTCTTGAATCTCTTTTTCATATGGCATTTCTTTATGTGATGTTTTTCAATTAGAAGGAAGTGTTCCTCTGCTAAATACCCCTGAAACCAAAAATGAACCAGCCAACCAACCCACCAAACAATGCACCAGCCAACTGACCCATCAAACAATGGACGAGCCAACCAACCCACCAAACAATGCACCAGCCAACTGACCCATCAAACAATGGACCAGCCAACCAACCCACCAAACAATGCACCAGCCAACTGACCCATCAAACAATGGACCAGCCAACCAACCCACTGAACAATGGACCGGCCAACTGACCCATCAAACAATGGACCAGCCAACCAACCCACCAAACAATGGACCAACCAACCAACCCACCAAACAATGGACCAGCCAACTGACCCATCAAACAATGGACCAAACAACCGACCCACCAAACAATGGACCAACCAACCAACCCACCAAACAATGGACCAGCCAACTGACCCATCAAACAATGGACCAGCCAACCAACCCACTGAACAATGGACCAGCCAACCGACCCACAGAACAACTGACCAGCCAACCAGCCCCCCAAACAATGGACCAGCCAACCAACCTACTGAACAATAGACCAGCCATTCAACCTACCAAACAATGGACCAGCCAATCAACCCACCGAACAACGAACCAGTCAACCAACCTACTGAACAATGGACCAGCCAAGCAATCCACCAAGCAATGGACCAACCAACCAACCCACCAAGCAATGGACCAACCAACCTACCCACCAAACAACGGACCAGCCAACTGACCCATCAAACAATGCACCAGCCAACTGACCCATCAAACAATGCACCAGCCAACTGACCCATGAAACAATGGACCAGCCAACCAACCCACTGAACAATGAACCAGCCAACCAACCCACCAAACAATGGACCAGCCAACCGACCCACCAAACAATGGACCAGCCAACCAACCCACTGAACAATGGACCAGCCAACCGACCCACAGAACAACTGACCAGCCAACCAGCCCCCCAAACAATGGACCAGCCAACCAACCTACTGAACAATAGACCAGCCATTCAACCCACCAAACAATGGACCAGCCAATCAACCCACTGAACAACGAACCAGGCAACCAACCCACTGAACAATGGACCATCCAATCAACCTACTGAACAATGGACCAGCCAAGCAATCCACCAAGCAATGGACCAACCAACCAACCAACCCACCAAACAATGGACCAACCAACCAACCCACCAAACAATGGACCAGCCAACCAACCCACCTAAAAATGGACCAGCCAACCAACCTACCGAACAATGGAACAGCCAACCAAACTATCAAACAATGGACCAGCCAATCAACTGACCAACCCAACAATCAAATGACAAAGTTTAAAACCATTGCTCTATTATACACATATGCACACATAGACACATGCATACATGCACCCATGCATTCACATAATTCCACTACTCCCTGCCACACAGAGTTTCTCTTCTTTTTTTGTTTCAAGCACCTAGCACCCAACCTTCCCATACAACTTGGGCTTGGAACTATTTAAGACACCATTGCTGGTGCTCAAGCTCCCACCTGTTTGGTTTCACACCTTGGTTTCCAGGTTTCCAGCCCCATGAACTGGTAACTGGGTCTTGAACTTGGCTGTGGTTTCTGCTATTTTGAGACCATCACACCCTGCCGTGTCTGCCACCTCCTCTGTGCTGTGCCTGGCTCCTAGGACAGCACCATGGTCTGGCCTTACCCCCGACCGACACCATCTGACTTGAACACATACAGCAGCCGACAGGGCCTCCCAATTCTCAGAGCACTCAACCTACAGAGCCACAATAGCACTCTGCTCTGCTGTTCTCACCACTTCTGGGAGTGATTTCTTATTCATGCCTTAACTCAGCATATGGCTGTTTCTGTTTTACGTGTGGTTTTTATTAATGCTAGGTCCCCTGGCAGTTCAGTGCATAAAAGGATGTGACTTGGGTTATACATGACTGTGTTGTCAGTGGCCTGCATTACTGTACTTCTTGGGCACTATTTGCATAAAAATACTTCACCTATTCAGAAGGGGAAAACATCAGTATGGAAAAAGGAATCCAGAAGATTCATGGACAGAAAACACATCGTGTGTTTGCTCTTATCATTTGGCAGCTCCAGAGTAGTTTTCCACTCTCTGAATAATTTATTATCACTTTTATTAGTCCTCTCTATCCAGGTTGATATTATTTTCTGCTTTACTGATACAGGCCCTGCTTCTCAGAGAAAGGAGACAGCAGATGCTGCAGCTGAAGTCTGGGGGAACCTGGGTAGGTCCCAGGGTGTCTAGAAGGGCTTGAAGCTAGACCAGCTGCACCCAAAAGCTTGGGGGTAAATCAGGGTCCTGATTGCTCTCTGGGGTCAGGTTAGAGAAAGTGAACTGCTGCTGCCCTGGTAGAATTCTCCATCTGAGCCACTCCTCCTGCCTCCCAAACCCCAAGCCTCTGCCACTGGCAGCCTTTCCTAGCCCAGTAACACATCTTCCTAACAGAGGCCAGTGTACTACTCTCTCTAAACACCACCTTTGCTTCAGATGCTGTGGAAGATAATATTTTCCAAAGGTGGTAGCAGCAATACCTCCCATTCCATGTACTCTTCCCCGAGATGATCTTGCCACCCTCCAGTCAAGAGGCAAAGTTGATGTCCCCCTCCCCCTTGAAACTGGGCAGGCTCGTAACTGCCTTGACATAAACTATGGTGGAAGTGACACTATGTGACTTTGAGGCTAGGTCCTAAAAGGAATGGAGTTTCTGCTGTGTGTCCACTGATCCCTCTGGGGCTCTGAGCTGCAACCATGAACGCAGTGTGATTACCACGGACCACCCTCCTGTGAGGAAGCCCAGGCCATCAGAAGAGGCCAAGTGTAGACCCTCAGGTTGACAGCTCCAGCTTAGGTGGCCCATGACAACCAGCATCAACTTCCAGACATTGGAGGAAGACAACAGATGTGCCTAGCCCCCAGCTGTTGAGTTGCCCCCTCCAGCACACGCTCTAAGCATCATGGAGCAGGGGAAAAGCCATCCCTTGATGCCAACAAAGGAGTTGTTAATGCCATTAAGGTTCAGATTAGTTTGTTAAAGAGTAATAGTAACTGAAACAGATGTAGGTTCTCAAATCCCATAGCAGGAAGCAATCCCATTGCTGGGTATTTATCCAAAGGAAAATAAATCAGTATCTCAAAGGGATACCTGCACTCACATGTTTATCACAGCACTATTCACAACAGCCAAGATATGGAATCAACTTATGTGTCCATCAATGGACAAATGGATAAAGAAAATGTGGCATATATACACAATGGAATACCATTCCGCTGTAAAAAGGAATGAAATCATGTCATTTGCAGCAACATGGATGGAACTGGAGGTCATTCTGTTAATTGAAATAATCCAGGCACAGAAAGAGAAATACTGCATGTTCTCACTCATGCAGGAGCTAAAAACACTTGATCTCAAGGACACAGAGAACAGAATAATAGTACCAGAGACTGGGAAAGGTAGGTGGTGGTAGAGGGTAGGAGTGAAGTGAAGTTGGTTAATGGGGACAAACATACAGTTAGATAGAAGAAAAGAGTACTAAGGAAAAAGACTAGGGTGACGATGCTTAGCAAACAATATTTTGTGTATTTCAAACTAATGAGAAGAGAGGACATGAAATGATATCAATGCATAAAAATGACAAATACTCAAAGTGATGGAAACCCCCAATAGTGACTTGATCATTACATAGTCTATGCATGTAAAAAACACATTTACACATAATATATATTTTATATTGATAAAAAAGTTAGCAGGACTTTAAAGACCCTAAATGCACAAATCCTCTAAATTCTTCTCTTCCAGGACTCAGTGAGCTTTAGGAACTTGTGAAATTCTAGCCAGTATAAATGTGGAATTGAAACTTCCTGAAGATGGGTTTTTACTCTCAGTTCAATCAGATGGCATAATGGAACTTCCCCTCTGCTAGTCTACTAATTTCAGACCTGACTAATTTCCAAAAAAAAAAAAAAGTGATAATCAAGCACTTCTTTTTCTAAAACTTACTTTGTCATTCAAGGGCTCTTTCTGAATAGGATTAGTTTATCATTCTGGATGATAGAGGAACAGCTTCTTATAAGGACAGAGGGAAATGATTCCTGCATTGCTCCTTGGAGACTGCCTGCCGAGAGCTGATCTTAGCAAGTCTACTCTGATTGTGAACATGATATTGATATCACCACCACTGCCCATGGATAGTTTCTTCCTTCCCCCAACCCCTTTCTACCAGCACCCCACCGGGCACTGTGCAAGGTGCTGGGGACATGCAGGTGAGCAAGACGGACATGATCCCTGTCCTTGTGGTGTTCAAAGATTGACATTTTCTGTCCAGATACTCTTTAAAAATTTTTATTATATTCAGAATAAAAATAAAGCCACATGGAAGCTTTTGGCCAATAAGGATATCTAAGTATGCATGGTAGAGGATGTAGGCTCTCAGACTGACTCCAACTCTGAGCTTGTGGGGAGAGATGGAGATCATACTAATCAATGTCATGCTAGCTGTTATGCCAAACTCTTCTGTTCAGAGGCTTGGCACACAGAAGTTTAGTTTTGATTCATGTTACTGGTTGACAGGTGTCATTTCACCCGTTGGTGAGCCTTCTCCCACCTTGCAGCTATGCAATCCCTTGAAGCCTGGGGATTCTGTGATGTGGCCAGTGGAACAGGGAAGTGGAGGAAAATGCCCATCTGCTTATTATCTGTCTTGGTTGACTGCTAGCCATTTGGAGGGAAGTCACTTAGCCCAAGTTAGATGCCAGGGGAGGCTGGGAGATGTAGTAGTCTCTGGCTGCACAGCCCTCCCTGCAGCAACCCTGCACTGTAGCAGGAGCAGGGATCTTGGCTTCAGAGTCACCCATCTCTGTCTCAGAATGATGTGGTTTTGCAAAGTCAAACGGGACACCAGTGGCTTGCTTAGGACTCCTGAGAGCTGGGGGCTTGGCCAGGAAACCTAGAAGGTGCCAACCTTCCTCTTTAGAGAAGATCTATTACACCTCCTACATCCTCTAAAAGGATTCTGCAAAATGCACGTTTACATGTGTCCCTCAATCTACTTTGTGAATTCCCTCCACTTGCTACATGCGAGAAAACATCTTTACCAAGAGACAAAGGCACTTTCTAAGCTGGGCATAAATACACCAACTTTTGTCCAACTTTAATAACAGTCGGTTATCTAATAATAAAGTGTTATTGGGGATACGCAGGTGAGCATACCCCCAGTAACACTTTATTATTTTTTTTTGAGGCGGAGTCTCACTCTGTCGCCCAGGCTAGAGTGCAGTGGCGTGATCTCTGCAACCTCTGTCTCCCAGGTTCAAGTGATTCTCGTGCCTCAACCTCCCGAGTAGCTGGAATTACAGGTGTGCACCACCACGCCCAGCTAATTTTTTTGTATTGTTAGTAGAGACAGGGTTTCACCATGTTGGACAGGCTGGTCTTGAACTCCTGACCTCAAATGATCTGCCTGCCTTGGCCTCTCAAAGTGCTGGGATTACAGGCATGAGCTACCACACCCGGCCAAAACAAAACACTTTTAACCAATAAGCATTTGGAAGACCCATTCCCCCTACTCCCCCACTAATTCATAGTAAAATACTGATAAGCCTGTCTCCATTTTGTTGGTGAAACACTTAAAGTCTTTCTTTGACAAAGTTCTCTTCTGTTTTTCCCTGAGAAACATGTAGCAAAATAATGCTATCTAGTGTTTCTAATGATGTGTTCCTGCAACAAGGGAGCTTTAATATCCAGTGCTTTTAATTTATTTTGTCATAAATTAATAAAGTATATATGATTGAGAGTAACTCATTAAATGTAAGTGTCATAAAATAAGGCACTTAGGTAAGAAAAGCGTGAAATGCTTCTGATGCACTCCTGAATGTTACATTAAGTACATAAATCATCTTTGTTTTCTCTCTGCTCAACAAAGAATCCAGCCTAGGAGGTGTATGTAATTAGTATAGTTGTATTTTAAATGATCCAGGAAGCATATGAATAGAACTTGCCCAAATATCAGAAAAGGGAGATTCCTCTGGCCAATTGGATTTTTTGTCTTTTTTAACGAACTCAGCTAGACAGTATGAGGTGTGGCCACAAAAACCAATACGCACTTTAAATAATTAAGAGCTTTCCGAGAACAAGTTCACCAGCTGAAAGACACAGTGAACCCACTCACAGCTGGAACCTCTCTTTGAATGGGATGACCCAGGCTGGAAAACGCATCAGAGGAAGTTTCCTAGGGACCCTCCTTGTGGAGCCCCCTTCTCTTTCAGGACCAGATCTAGAGCAGGCTGGGAAGCGGGTGGAAGGGAGGCCTGGCCCAAGATGGGGTAGGCATGTGGCCCCATCTGTTCTGGTTCATGCTTGAAGTAGACACAGCTGCATTCTGGTGAACTGGAGGCTGACTTATGGAGCACTTAGCACAGACACTGGCTATCCAAAAGCATGTGATTTGATTTTGGTTTAAAAATCCAGCATAGCAATTTCCCACGATTCCTGTTCCCACTGGCTCCTGTTTCATTAGCCAAGCAAAGCTTATGTGGAATGTGATATCACAAAATAATATGGGAGAGAATGCCAGTGCCAAAAAGCCTTTACCCTGTGGCTCAATTAGAAATGGATTATTACCCAAAGAAATATGGCATGTGCAGAAAGGCCATCAAGGAAGACTGGATGATGAACAGCAATAATAATCACCACTCGGGTAATCATTGACCAGCAGCAGGGGTACCAGTGACCACTGTTACTGCAGCACTGACCCAGGGCCATGTTCCAGGCGAGCTGATTTGCACCCCAAACCTTGTAGCCCACCGTGTAAACAGGCATTATTGTCTCCATTTTTTTTTTTTTTTTTTTTTGAGACAGAGTGTCACTCTTGTTGCCCAGGCTGGAGTGCAATGGTACAATCTCAGCTCACTGCAACCTCCACCTTCCGGATTCAAGCAATTCTCCTGCCTCAGCCTCACAAGTAGCTGGGATTACAGGCATGTGCTACCATGCCCAGCTAATTTTGTATTTTTAGTAGAAATGGGGTTTTGCCATGTTGGTCAGGCTGGTCTTGAACTCCTGACTTCAGGTGATCCACCCGCCTCTGCCTCCCAAGTGCTGGGGTTACTGAAGTGAGCCACCGCGGCTGTCCTGGATCCATTTTTAAATATGAGAAAACGGAAGCTGCAGGAGCCCTTACAAATAACTTACCCAAAGTCATGTGGGGTGTAAACAGTGGATCTGAGAACTGGAACAAGCCTGAGTCAAAGCTCAGGTCCCTTCCCTCCACACGTGGTCTCATTCCTTTCTATATCCCTGGAGCCTCCTGTGCGTACAACACTTGTATGTACCCCTGTGCCGCATGTGGCAGGAAAGTGGGTTAGTTATTTGGGAAGCCCGTATAATGTCTGTTTCTATGAAGGGCAGGGTGGTCGTTCCAATTTAGCTAGGATTTGTATACAATAAAGGCAAAAGGGGTGCCAGCAGAAAAGAAAAGAAAGAAAAGAAACACATCTGCTTTAGCTTCTGTATGGCACTAGCATGTTTTCTCCTTTTTGCTTTTAAGCTTTAGAAAAATAAAAAGCATCAAGAGCTTGACAGGACATTGCTTTCTAGACAAATGGATCACCTCACATTTCCATCTGGCTTTCAGCTCATATCCTGGAAGGTCATGACAATGATAAGTTCCACATCAGTTCTCTGCCCCTCCTGTCAGGACTTGTCTCAAAGTTCATCTCTGCCAAGAAAGGCTCCTTCCTCCTGCAACAGCCTAAAACAATGACAGGGCACAATGCTGTCCTTCTTGCTGTGGGCTCCAAATCAGCTACCTGGTTAATCTGAACTGAATCTTCATAAGGAGGAAGACTCAGTTACCTGGGGTTCTACTATGTTATCATCATCATCATTATTATTTTATGACCTCATGATCATCATCATCATTTTAGGACCTCCTCCTTGTCATTTTATATATATACATATTTGGCTTTTTTATTTTTTTTTTTCAGAGAGGGTCTCACTCTGTCACCCAGGCTGGAGTGCAGCGGCATGATCTTGGCTCACTGCAACCTCTGCCTCCTGGATTCAAGTGATTCTCCTATCTCAGCCTCCCAAGTAGCTGGGACTACAGGGACGTGCCACCATGTCCAGCTAATTTTTGTATTTTCTGTAGAGATGGGGTTTTGTCATGTTGGCCAGGCTGGTCTTGAACTCCTGGACTCAAGTGATCCACCCGACTCAGCCTCCCAAAATGCTGGGACTACAGGCATATGCCACCACGTCCAGCTAATTTTTGTGTTTTCAGTAGAGACGGGGTTTCGTCATGTTGGCCAGGCTGGTCTCGAACTCCTGGGCTCAAGTGATCCGCCCGACTCAGCCTCCCAAAATGCTGGGATTACAGGCATGAGCCACCATGCCCAGCCCTCCCCCTCATCATTTTATGACCTCATAATCATTATCATTATCAGCATCATTTTATGACATCATCATCATCACTTTATGATTTAGAGAGAGCAGTAGGCATGGTTTGAATGAGTTTTGGTATCCACGTTAGGAGTCAATCAAAGATGGTTAGGAAATCCCTGGACCAAGAACAGTTTAGAACTTTTTACACACCATCGTGTTTAATTTTGTTCATTTCAAACACGATCTACACAGAAGCTGTGGGAGCCCACAGGAGGGACACTCAATCCCACAGTGACCTTTGGAAGTGGGAATTAAAGTCTCCATTTTTTTCAAGTAAGAGCTGAGACTAAGAGCTTTCAGTTGACTTACCTATGACCATGTTGCCAAATAAAGGAAGAGATGAGTTTCCTGCCCAAACTATCTAATGGCAAGCATATGTTCTTATCATCTATCACAATGTCCCAGCATGGGCTAGTAGCACTCCTACCTCTGTTGCTCCAACCTGCCCAGGCACCGCCTCCAGGTTCCTTCCTATAAGGACAGATAGCGCTGACCCACTTCTTTCCTAGTAGTATTTCTGGAGAGGTCTGAGGCTGCAGAGCACAGGGCTCTCTTGCCCTTTCTCTGAGCATCTCTGGACTCATTGATAATATGAATAAGTTGGATCAGAGAATCCTCAAAGTCCTTTTTTGATCTTTCCAGGTCTCTGTGCAGATGATCCTTTGCTAAATGTGGTGAGATTTTTAAGTTTCAATGTGCCTATCGGCTGGCTTACTAGTCTTGACTCGATGAAAAACCACATGGAAAGTAAGAAATGGCTCCACATTTCTTACATTGGGATAGGATGGGGTGGTGCCTGAGCATACTGGTTACATCCTGCAAATCCGTACACACTTGTGACTTTTGTATGCCGCCTACATGGGCCCTCCTTCTCATCTGACCCGCACAAAGATTAACTGATCCTCAAAATCCACCAGTTGAAGGATGCTCCTCTGGGAGACCATCCTTCATTGCTTCCCACCTTTGATTTCACTGTCACATCTATCTTGCAAATATTCACAGGGACCATGGCACTTAAGCTAAAAATGTTACCAAATCCCTTGTTGATAATTCCAGCCTCAGGTATCATGACCGCATAAAAGTCATAATTACACTCATATGGCAGTTATTTAAATGGCTGTTATTCTTCAAACCCGCACCTTAAACACAAACATGAGCGTTGGCACTGACCTTTCAAAGAATTTCAGTGAAATTGAAATAACATTGCTATAGCTGAATAAGACAAGCTCTGGAATTATAAGGTTATAAGACAGATAACCTTCTTAAACTGCTAAACTTCAAAGCCATATCCTTGATTTCTGTTCAAAGATGAATAGCAATCTCAGATAATTGGGATGTGGGATGGCTGAAGTATAGAAAAAAAGGAGATCAAGAGGTAATGAAAATGTTCTGCTTGCCTCAGTGAAAGCCTAAAAATCACTTGTAGAAAGAATATTCTGAACTTGTCTGTAGGGGTGTTTGGCTGTCATTGAATTTCACTGGGATGAAGCCAGCATATGTTAACTGAGATGTGGTGGTGGGGTGGGGGGAGATGCCAGAGGAAAAATAAATGAGCTAATCTATGAATACCACAATGATAGGATGAAAGGGAAGACTATATGGAGTGGTGGGACCTGGTGTAAACTCAGACGGTGATGTCACAATCTGGGGCATGTGGACGATGTTCTGTTTCATTTCACCACTGATGTATTCTTGAATATGGCAAGTGTTGTCTTAAAACAGGCAGAGACAACCCAAACCTATTCAGCCTCCCCCATCTCATTTCTTCCTTTGCTGACACCGGTGCCCATTATGACTTCTCATTTAGACTTGGAGCATTGATTACATGATTTCCTGTGGCTGTACCAGACATCTGCTATTCAGCTGGCTATGTGTGTGTGTATGGGGCATGGTATTTTGCCTTAGGCTAGCAAAATCTCCTGGCTATACATGAGGATGTGTATGCATAATTGCCATTATTCACCACCACACTCAAGCCATGGGCCAAATTACAAACTGCAGTCTTCCAATATTTTGTCAATTTTTTCTAAACCAGTTACAAAAATAAACACACAAACAAACAACAAAAACATCAACTGTAAGAGTTATGAATGTAGCTCATCACTTTCTGGGTGGATAATTCTTAGAAATCAGACAGGAAAGGCTGGGTGCAGTGGCTCATGCCTTTAATCCCAGCACTTTGGGGGGCCAAGGTGGGCAGATCGCTTGAGAGCAGGAGTATGAGACTAGCCTGGGCAACATGGCGAAACCTCATCTCTACAAAAATTATTTAATACAATAACAATAACGAAGAAATCAGACAGGAAATGAGACTGCTATGAGGTAGGAGGAAGGGTGAAGGTAAAGGGCATTTCCACTTGCTCTTGTCACTGCTGTATCCTCAGTTCCTAGAACAGCACCTGAGACAGAGAAGGTGCTGGAAAGATTTTGTGGAACGAATGAAGCACTATCTCTCTCCTAGGATGAGGGGCCCTGTCACCTTGTTTCCAAAGGGGCCTTACTCTATAAAGAACAACTGTTGATAGGAACAACAGGCTGGAATGTGTCTGGGGTTCAGGGTAAGAAATGCATCAGCTTTCTGAAATGTGAGGCCTGACAGCAGGAAGGCAGGGAGATGCTGGGCATCGCTAATTAGGGCTCCCTTGGCAATGCCTTAGCATTTACCACTGTGCCTGAAAAGTTGTACAAATATTTCCTGAAAAGAAGATATTTCCCATGTTTTCAGAACACTTGAGTTTGGTGAAAATGACAATTAAAGTGCTTTTTATCAACAGAAGAGTGTGATGTAGTCTCAAAAAGTTGACAGTTCAACAAGTTTTATAATACTTCAGGATTCACACTCAAAGTTCTTGCTACTGCTCAGGAACTAGGCATCCTGTCCCCCAACAAACAAACACCTGACAGTCATTCCACCTCTTATGTGAAATGGGACCGTATGCTGTAGCCAGTTACATAATTAGTACCATGAATCCTACTTTTGAAAGCAGCTCTGATTATACTAAAAACTTCTGGAGGCTCCACTTGCCTGGAGAATAAAGCCCCAACTCCTTGATCGGGCACCCCAAGTCCTTCCCATCTGGCCTTCAGCTGAATTTGGAGTCCCAAGATCTACTGTGCCCTGTCTTCACAGCCAAACTACAGCCAAGCCAGTCTGCCCTCAGCTCTCGCCCCATTTCCTCCATATATATATATATATATATATATATATATATATATATAATTTTTTTTTTAATAGGAGACTGTCTCCCACTCAGTTGTGAGTTCCTTAGGGTCAAGAACAACAATTGTCATCCACATCTGTCCACGTGCCCACATAGATATCAAAGAAGTATATGTTGACCTGGATTGACCTCCAGCCTTGTCCTTCATTCCATTTTCTACAGAGTCGCAGCAGCTGCATTTTGAAAGATCCAATCTGATCATTGCTTCCATGACTCCTGATATTCACACTGGAAGTGAAACTCCTCAGCATAGTGTAGGAGGCTTGCCAGCATCTGCTCTGCCTAACTGCTGGGTCTTCTCTTTCACCTTACCCCAATTACATCCTACATCCTAAGAAGAGCTCCGTGCTCTTTGTCCAGGCTGTGTCCTTTATCCAGGCTACTGTCTGCTTAGAATGTTCTTGACCTTCTCCTTCGGCACCTAGAGAACCATCTGCTTGTCCTTAAATAAATTGTTTCTGGCTAACTTCTTTTTTTTTGTTTTGAGACAGGGTCTCACGCTGTTACCCAGGCTGGAGTGCAGTGGTCTGATCACTGCTTATTACAGCCTTAACCTCCCAAGGCTCAGGTGATCCTCCTGCCTAGTCCCCTGAGTAGCTGGGACTACAGGTGCACCATCACGCCTGGCTAATTTTTAGTATTTTTAGTAGAGACAGGGTTTTGCCATGTTGCCAAGGCTGGTCTTGAACTTCTGGGCTCAATCAATCTGCCCTCCTCAGCCCACCAAAGTGCTGGGATTACAGACAAGAGCCACCATGCCAGGCCCTAGCTAACTTCTTCTAAGAAACTTTTGTACCCTGCCCCAGGACACATGTATCTGGACATGTATCTGGGCCTTCCCCCACTCTCAGCTCCCTTGCATGCACCCCCACCCTGTTTGGCTATCTGACTCCCTTTCCAGAGTCCATTTATCTTGTATTTCTAGTGCATTGCCTAGAGAAGACGCACAGTAACTATTTTCAGAACAAAGCTCCGGTTTGCAACTGCTCCACTCTGCTCTTTAGATTTTAAATGGCCGATAAATGTTACAGCTGCAAGACCCGATATGGTTCCTGCGTAAGTCTGGGTGGCAAGGTACACACACCGGGCCCTTGCAGGGTTTAAGATGAAAGGCATCTAAACTGCCCTTTTCCCTTTCTTGGCTCTACTGTTGCTCAGAATATCTGAAGCAGAATCAATTGGCTGGCTTACAGAAAGCCTGGAACTACAAAAGGCAGAGAAAAACATCTGTCACCACTGCACCGTTCACTTTTTTTGGCAGCTGCATGATAGCAGAAGGTCTCAGCATTTGCTTTCGAAAGCAGGTCATTACTGCTGCAAATTCCTGGAAGACCTTTGGACAAGACTGAAAATGCCCCAGATCTGCTCCAGCTCTGCTGACCTCTCAGATCTGAAAAGCTGCATTCCTGTTCCAAGGTCAGAGGGGCCAGGAGGCTGTGTGTCATCACACATGTGCTCAACAGTCTCTCCCAAACACAGACCTGATACAGCCACTTCCCTGTGCCTCCCCTAGATGCTAGGTGGTCCAGGAAACTGTGGTTCCCAAGCACCCTCAAGCGTCTCATGACTGAAGCCCTCTCTGAGTTCTGGGCACTATTGCTTCCTCAGAACATCCTTGTGGCCACCTTCATTGAGAAACAGTGAAGATAAGGGTTGGGCTGCCTATCATATTGGAGAAGGAAGCAGCTCATTGTACTCCTGGATGGTTGAGTGCTTGCTAGGAAGACTAAGGCAGGGGCTGAAAACCCAGATGAGTTAGGCTGAGAGGTTTGCCCATTCACATCTAATTCTTGACAACAGTATCTGATCATGAGAAGCCCTGATCAGTGTTCTTGTATGCCCTGTGAAGGCACTAGGGCCACAAGTTGATTTCTTCAGGACTGACACTTGCATGCAGCATAGGGGTTGGCACTCTCGTAGTTTAAATTGGCCACCACAAGGCAGCTCACGAACAAAGCATGGGCAACAGCCTTCAGTACAACCCACAGAGGCTATCACAACACAGTACTTGTTCCTCGCGTTTACACAGCATGTTACAGTGTATAGGGCGCTTTCATATACAGCGTGTCATTTGATCACACAGCAGTCTTTTGTACAAGACAGTGCATATATCATCACCTCCCATTTACAAATGGGCATCTGAGGCTCTGAGAGCTTTGAGGACTTGCCCACGGAGCCTCCCGTCATGAGTGGCAGAGGACCAGGGCTTGAAGAGGACCAGGGCTCGAACATCCTCTGGGGCTCAATGGAGTCACTCATCAGTTCTACATGGTGAGGTGAATCCTAGTTCTAACATTTGGTAAAATCAGCAGCATTTAAAAAAAAAATCTGTAGCTGGGACTCAACAACTCCAGGGCATTTACAGTTAAAGTGCAGCCTGTGGGCCAGCAGCACTAGGATTCCCTGGAAGTTCCCTAGAAAAGCGGAATCTCAGATCCACTCAGACCCACTGAATCAGAGTCTGCCTTCAACAAGACCCCAGGGAGCCTCACAGGGCGTTGCAGGTTGCGGAGCTCTGTGCTGGGGAACACATGCCTTCCTCTCTCGGCTCCGGCTTCACCCTGGGGAAGCGGCTCAGTTGGGGAGGGTTTAGAGAAAAGAAGCTTCCATCTGATTGCCTCCTGATAACTGCAAGAAAAGCTGCTGTATCTGTCCAGCTCCCCTCTTGGTGGAACAGGTCTCTGTTCATCTCCTTTTCTTCCCAGCTCCCTGCTAAACACTTTTAGCCAAGAGACTCATCTCCTCAGACAAATCAAAATCTTCTCTCTGGCATTAATTTTGATAAAGCATGAAGATGAAAGATGTGATTTCAGTCTTCCTTGATCTCTGAGAATCCTAAAGTCTGTTTAAAGTACTCCCAATATGAGTTGTGACAGAATTGTGATGTCCTAAGGAAGGTCTGTGATGTTAAAATTTTTCTCTCCTTTTGAGGAAGGATCTCTCTTCACCCCTCCAATGGTGTATATGGCTTGATTGACATGCCTAATAATTGGCTGGTAAATTAGCATCTCTGCCTAGCCACGGGGCTAACACAGCTTATAATCAGAAAAAAACAAACAAAAAACAAAACAAAACAAAACAACTTTTTTAAAGAGCTGGAGCAGAATGTGATGACAGAAATTGGGAAAGCTTTTAACCAGTTTACCAATAAAGTTGGGATTATCCTCCCTCTTTTACATTGTTCGCCAGTTAACAGGGCAGTCATCAGATTTTTTAAATGATTCTTTTTGAGCACTTTTTATAGGAAGACAATAGGTTGAAATCAAGGTGCTGATGCTTTTCTATGTATAACTAATCTTCAATGACCTTCCATTTTTTCCTACATTGACCGTATAAGCACCACTTGATCTTGATTCCATCTGTGCGGTTTTCAGCACAATAGTTTAATGGTGCCAGGCCCGCCCTAAGTGGCTGGTGGTGACAGTCTTCCCAGGTAAGTGGTAGCCATGGAGCACATTTGGGACAACAGCCAGTGTTACCACTTGGGGGTCCTCTTTCAGCCTGTATGGTTGAAGGTAGCAGGAAAGAAGAATTTCATCTTCTCTCCCAATAATTCTTGATCAAGAACGTGCATATAAGCTCACTTTGAGCATTTCGTTAGAGGCAGTAGCATACCATCCTAATCAGTTTTAATGAAGGGTTACCGCCTAATTACAAATTAAATACACTTAGGGATACTTAACTGTTAAATACATCATTTACTAAATATTAGCTTTTCTCTGGGACTATTTTACTCTTGCCTTTGGGACAATCTTGGGTGCTAATGATTTGTTTCCTTCTGCTTTTGGCTTCTATTCAGAAGAGGGTGCATTAAGTGCCTCTTTAGCAATTTCTGGCTGGTCCATGAGCCACTGGTTTAGGTCAACCCTGAGGATCAGAATTCTTTGCACCAAATCCGTTTCACTAAGGGGACATGTGAGACTGGCCATGTGATTCTATTCAAGCTCCATCAGAGCCCCCTCCTCCAGAATTCGTGCTCTGATTTACAAGTTGGTATTTTAAAGGAGCCAGAATTCCCTCTGAACATTAAAAAAGTATCACACCCGTACTTCCAGCTACAAGTTTACAGGAACAACATGGTAGATTCCCGGAAAGAAATTCTGGTCCAGGGGTAGACCTCCATTTCCAAACCTCTTTGTTCCTTGGACCCAATGATGTTTTTAGTTACCTTGTATCTTCTAAGGGGAACTTCAGGACATAGCAATCTTATGGGGTTATGTGTTTGTCAGGGTGGGGTGGGGTGTGGTGGGGAAGAAGGCAGTGGTGAAGGAATGAAGACTCTTAAATGCTCAATTTCTCCTCACCTCTGGGGCTGATAAAAGTTTCCAGGGCCTACTGTGTCACCTTGGCCAGCATTCATTTCTGTTTCTTTTTTTCTTTTTCTTTTTTTTTTTTTTTTTTTTTGACTAGGCCTGATTTGGGACGCCCATGACATGGCCCACAGAAGGCCTCCACTTTGGGGAAACACGAGATGCTCTTAATTGGCACAGATGAGCGCCACGGGTCAACACCTACAGTGTGACTCCCGGGGAGGGCTGCATGAGCCCTCCTGCATACTGAGGTAGGGGTTGAGGTCAGGGTTTCTGGCCTCTTTTTGAAAGGGACGTCATTCCAATGGACTCCATTTGAGAAAATATAGTCAACAAAGTCCAGACACTGCTTTGGTTTTGACCATCACACTGGGAGATATTCAGACCCATGCAATTACATACGCGAAGGGGGGCATGTCTTGGGATTAGAAAGAGGATGAGTAAGGAAGTCTCTGCAGCGAACATCTCCGCGAGGGAAGTCAGCTACAGGAAGCGTCCGAGTGACCTGGCTCCATGGCCTTGCGGTCCTCACCCCAAGCTTGCTGAGGGATGAACTGAGCTACACAGTTCTCCCATTTCTAAGCGTTCTGGGGACCTACTACTTGCCGTCTCTGGAAGACGCTGCTGCCTGCTTTTATATAAAGGGGCTCCCAGGGCTGAGGGGCAGGAGGTAGAGGAAGGAGGCGTTCACTACCCAGGGTAGACAGAATTCTGCTCCCGACCCCACTGAGAGCAGGTGCATTCACTGCAACATCTCTCCACGGGCTCCCACCGGCTCATCCCAGCGCCTGCCACCAGGGGCAGCTCTGCAGAGTCAGCGCTGGATGGAGCAGCCCGGGGTCAGGAGGCCTCCTCATGCAGGACGCGCCTACCTGTATCGCTGCTTCACAGACTGCTTCTCTGTGGACTTGCAGACGTGCCCCACGTAGTACAACGGGAAGAATAAAAAGTTCCAGTTGGTGGCAAACCACGTGAGGGTGAAGGGCGCGTCGAACTTCCTGAAGGTCAGCTTGGCGAGCTGCGTGGAGCCCGCCCACGAGGAGCACACGCACAGCACGACCGCCACGCCCCAGAAGATCTTCTTGAGTTGCGCCCGGGAGCACGTCCAGCAGCGGCGACTCGCTCTCCCGCCGGCCTCCACCCCGGCCGGTGCCTGGGCCTCCGCCGGGCCCGGGGAGTCCCGGGGGCGCTCCTCCCCTGGGGAAGAGAAGGGCGTGGTTAGCGGGGCCTGCAGACCTTCACCCCTGCACTTCGCAGGGCGCTGCCCTGCAGCCATTGTCACCACCAGCTACCTGGGGGCCCGGGGAGATAGCGGGTGCAGGGGCGGCTTCCAGGGCGGCTGTGTGACAGCAAGCTGCAATAGAAAACGTTTGCACTGGTTTTCCTGTCCTCCAGGTCCGAGGCTCTCCAAGTGTGGTCCCTGGGCCGGGCAGCGTCAGCACCCTTCCCCGTCCGTCCCCGGAACGTGTTGGAAATGCAGAATCTCAGGGCTCACCCCAGACTCCAAAATCAGAACCTGCATTCCTCAGGTGATCTGCGTGCTTTGGGAAACACTCCTCCAGAACACACAGAGCAGCTGAAATATCTCCACTCTCATTTATGTCAGTTGACGAGTACTCACGTGCTCCTGGGTGCGGGGCAGTACTGGGGGCTGGAGATTCCTACAGGGGGAGGTCCTGACCTCTAAAAGGTCCCAGTACCTTGACAGAAGTGGCCTGTTACTTAAAGGCACAGTTGGCCAAGACTCTCTCCTCTTATTTTGTACGTACAGCAAAAATAGACTTCGCCACTCTTACTTTTCTATCTGCTTTAACTGGCTTCCTGCTGATAGCCTCCAGTCCCACTTCGAAGCTTTACTTAAAAACCACAACCTCTGGCAGCTGGTGTGTGAAAGGCCACAGACACTCCATTCTAGAGCGGTGTGATTTCTGGAAACCAGGCTGCAGCCCAAAGCTTGGCTCTGCGGCAGTGTTGTTCCCGCAGACCAGAGGAAGGTGAAAAGGCGTTATTTTCCACTGTTTGCTTTTTCATTCATGATTGTGTGCGTGTCAGTCAGCTGGAAATTTAAACAAAGCTGTAGCTTGTGTCGGGTGTAACTACGGATGGATGCAAATTTCCAGAAGGCAGTGTACTTGCCTTTTATAATGATGTTGTGCCTGGCACCTAGCTGAATGGAGGCACATTAGTGCTAAGAGGCCATTTTCACTCTAGGGGAGGAGATGAGTCCTGAATATATTGGGGTCAAACGTGCTTTCTCTACATTGCTTAAACTTAAATAACTTTAATAACAAACTGAGTTTTGTATATCATACTTTCTGAAGCATTATGAGTCTATGAGGCAAAATTGTGATTCAATGTAATCTATTTTTCAGGTGTTAGCTAATATCGTTAACCACCAGCTGTGCTGTATCTGTTTTAGCCAAAGATAAACCGAAGCATTACATGGTTAGTCAAAGAGAGATAATGTACTTTATTGGGCCAAACTGTTTCACACCATCTCTATTGTGCTTCATTACTTGCTTTATTAATAACCTCCCTCCTTCTCTAACTTTTCATGTGCTCACATATCCAAGTTGAAAAGCCCCTGGAAAACCAAATGTCTCGCCACCCTCTGAGCTTCTGACAAGCCGTCTGTTCCTGCATGGGCTGCAGGGCAGAAAGATGTGGAGGACAAAAAGGAAGATTGATTTCCAGCCTTTTGGGGGATCTGCGCGCTTATGCCCTCCTACCAGGATCTCTTGACTTTCCTCACCGTGAATTTCCACAACTTAATGCAATTGCAGTTTCAGACAGAAGCATGCACATTTCAATTTACACACGGATTACCTGCCATTTTGAATTAACATCTGCAGCTGTTCATTATCGGGATAATTTGCAAGGAGTGTTGGAGGTTAGAGGGGTTTGTCACTATTAGCATCACTGTCAAAAACTCATCCTGAAAAGATGATTGTAGAGATGAAAAAAAAGTTCACAAAAATAAAATGCAGCTTCACAGTAATAACTTCCAGTGAAAGAATGGACTCCAAAAGAGGCTGAATAAATTCAGCTCACAGCATGTTTCTTCATTGAATGTTTTCATTATAGCAAATTAAGCTTTAAAACTTAGCAAACTAGGCAGTGATGCTGCATAGCTTTTACAATGAAGGAGAAAATCATCAAATCATGTAATTTGGTATTGCTAAAATGTTTCTATGGATTTGGATTAAAGAAGTTGTTCTCTAACTTTGTAACCTCTCTGGATCCTCAAAACAAAGGAATATGAACAATTACAAAAAAAATTAAGACACTTAGAACCAAACTCACTACACTGTTATTTGAAAATAACCACATATAAATAGAACGTTTTCCAAAATGTAATGCAGTTAACAGGCGTTATAAGGAAAACATATTCCATGCTTGGATAGATTTGAAAAACACCAAGTAGAACAGACAGGTTCCTTTGCTGTAGGAATATTCAGGGTCAATGGATATTGTGAATTTTCAAGAGGCTGCTTCCCATATTATTTAAATGTGTAACGCCTGTGGTAGGGACTACTGTGCTCTGGAACATACTTTGGGAAACACTGGAATATACCCATAAAGAATAATAGACAACCAAACCCCATTCATTGCAAACCTCCCACTTCACTATACTGTGTCTCTTATAATAATAATAATCACTCATCAATTTCATTACCTCATTCTTCATACTGCTAAACACGTCACACCTCATATAAATAAAAAGTATTCTTTATACATACATCACAAAAGTGCTAAATAGTAAAAAGAAAAAGCAATTTTTAGTGATGTTAGCACCCAGGGATATCACAATTCACATTGGCTGCCGCATTTTCCCTAGTCTTTTGTGTCTGTGCAACACACAGACACACACACATACACACACCCCTCTCAGCAGAACCGTGCCCCTAGTACAAATGGACACACAAACCCACACACACACACTGAAAAATTGGGATCACACTGTGTTTTTATCTTTCATTTATTTAACCTAACTTATAATGAACGGCATGCACTTTTTACATCTCACAGGGCTATGTATGGTGCAATGCATCCTCAGAGCCTTTCAATCAGACAGGAAATCACTGTGAAACATGTGCCCTGTGCCAAGAGCTTTGGGTGGTCTATAAATAAGTGTAAAGCATGATTACCATCTTTCAGGAATGGACAGTCTATGTCAGAGTGACGAAAGATCCATGAAGGAATTACAGAACAATTACGTGTAAAATAGAGATTCTGACTATATAACAGGAATTCTGCAGAGAGCGTGGCCAGTGTGCATTGGGATAATAGTGAAAAGAATCAGAAGAGGCAGGTGGTTGGCCTGGGTCTTGGAGGATAGAACATAAAAGTAAGTAAAATAGGAGCAAAGTTCAGGGTCAGGAATACACATGACCTGGAGGGGCAGTGAGGATGGTGGTGAGATCTGAAATGCACTGCCATCTCGTCACTCTGCAATGCCTCATCTTGCTTTGGTTAGACATGCCACAGGAGAAACTGCCAGGTTTGCTGAAGGGACTGGAGCAAACTCAGATGTGGACTGATCCTACTTTATTAAGGAAGTGCAAGCCACAACATCCATAACAAAGTAATATAATTAGTTGAAGAATAAATGTAGAGTGACACAATAATTTTGCTTAGCAGATGCATTTATTTTCTACTATTGGAAATGCAACAAATGCACCCCACACTTGACATCATTTCTAGGGTCATTTTCAATGAACTGGCCAATTGATGCTCAAACAGGTTTCAGACAGAAGGAGTTACAATGAGGAAGCTATATCTCTTTTCAGAAGCCTTTCAAATCTTCTAAGTGTAGGAAACTTTTGTTTAATTCTGCCCCCCACCTCCAAAATTTCAGGTCAAGTGTTGCCTTTGTTTGATTTCACTCTTTTATCACAGTTGAAAGAGGCAGTGCCGGCCGGGCACGGTGGCTCACGCCTGTAATCCCAGCACTTTGGGAGGCCGAGGTGGGCGGATCACGAGGTCAGGAGATCGAGACCATCCTGGCTAACATGGTGAAACCCCGTCTCTCCTAAAAATACGAAAAATTAGCCGGGCGTGGTGGTGGGCACCTGTAGTCCCAGCTACTCAGGAGCCTGAGGCAGGAGAATGGCGTGAACCTGGGAGGCGGAGCTTGTAGTAAGCCGAGATTGCGCCACTGGACTCCAGCCTGGGCAACAGAGCTAGACTCCATCTCAAAAAAAAAAAAAAAAAAAAAAAAGAAAGAAAGAGGCAGTGCCTCAAGGAAATCGATGCCAAAATTTGTCTCACACTGTTTACTGCCACAGCTCCTGGGACCATTAGTACACAACTAGAAATACTATTTATGTCACCCTCACCTTCACTCTCCAACACCCCTTCCCCACTAACAATCCCTCTGTTTATGATCATCTTGTGCCTTAAATTCTAATCTTGTACTTTAGCCAGCAGTTCTGGGAGCAATGCAAAGTAGATTATACACTCTGGCCCAATGCTCGTGCTGACAGACGCTGTAATTGTGGATTCAAACATCTCCCTGAAGCTGTGTCACCTCTAAATTCTGTTTATGCTACTTAATTCATCCATAAATGCTGGAGGACAGGCGGGTTCATCCCAGTTCTGTTGCCTGAGTTGCTTCCATTGAGCACGTGTGTGTGTGTGTGTGTGTGTGTGCACGCGTGCGCGCACGCCAGTGCAGGGGGAGTGTTCTTTTGTGCACTTTATATACTCCATGGCATGGTGAGATGTAACCACGCCTGTGTGTGAGCTTCCATTTTAGCCCTGTCTTAGTGTCCTGAGGGCTGTCAGGCAATAAACCCGCCACCTGCAAAATCACACTTTTTGCTTGTGACCAAAGACTCTTGACCAAAGAGAGAAAGGATTCACACTCTTTGGTTAAGCAGAAGTAGTACCTAGAGGCAATGTCTGCACAGCAGAAGGAAACTCAGGTCACAATGGGTGAGCTGAAGGTCGAGGTTAGCTACCAACTCATTCGGGTACCAAGGCACATCCTTAGTCCCATGAGCTGTCCACTGCTTAGGCCTGAGAAAATGATGAATTGGGTGCTTTTTTTTTTTTTTTTTAACTTAATGTAAGTCACTTCTACAATGAAAAGCAAGAAAGAATGGAAAGTCATTCATTCTCATCTCATAAAATGGCCCTTTTGAACTTTCAAGAGACCAATAATGTTTCTTTTATGAGCTTCCCCGAGAATAAGTGGACCCTTGTTGAGTCCTTTCTGAAAAAGTCTCCAGAGAGTTTACCCTTAGAAAGTGCTCAAGTCCTTTCTTTAGGGTAAGGGACCCAGAGCGGGGATCAAAGACCACCAGCTGGCTGGTGTGACTCAAGCCTTTCAAATGTAAAGGAGATAGAATTGCACAGGAAATGGGAGATGATGCCTTGCAACTGACATCTATTTCAGTAAGGTCTATAGAGTTATTTTATTTGTTTACAGCTTTATTGAGATATAATTCTCATACTATAAAATTCAGTTAAGTACACAACTCAGTAAGTTTTAGCAAATTTGAATTGTGAAACCATTACCATAGTATCATTTTGGAACATTTCTATCATGCCGAAACGAGTTCTTGTGCCCATTTGAAGTTCTCCCTGTTCCCAGCCTCAACCCTAGACAACCATGAATGTGTTTTCTGTCTCTATAATAATTTGCATATCCTGAACATTTCATATACATATACAGACTTTCACATCTGACTTCTTTCATTTAACATCATGTCTTTGGGGTTTATCCACGTTGTAGCGTGTGTCAGCAGTTCATTCTTTTGATGCCTGAAGAGAATTCCATTGTATGGATATACCAAATTTGGCTTATCCATTCATCTATCGATGGACATGCAGATTGCTTTCAGTTTGGGGCTGCTGTGAAGAATGCTGCTATGAACATTCACCTATAAGTCTTTGTGTGGATATATATTTATTTCTCTTGGGTGGACTAGTTTTTAGGCCACTCATTCAACAAATCTTATTTGACCACCTACTTTGCGGTACAAGGCAGATAGAACTTTTCCCTCATGGAGCTTGCTTAGTCCAAGTGGCAGTGCTTAAAGTACCCACATTTTAGAGGCTTAAGTGCATCTAATTGCGTCCAAATGGGATACAGTTGAGAGCTGCTCTGGAAACTAGAGTTCCAGCTTCCCCCATCCCTCAACTCCTGCCCCTTTTTCCTAGACTGCATGAAAGACAGGGTCTGATGAAAACTTTCCCATTTATTGATTACTGATGAGTACACCATCCCAGGACCTGGCCAACAAACCAAAAAGTTTTGCAAAATGAGGAGCTTAGAAGAAAGCTTTTGTTTATGGCCATTTGCAAGTGTAACTTGTCTTCCAAACAATCCATTTCAGGCTTTGTTTATCTTTTCTACTCATTAAATACTTGCTCAGTGAATTTATGTGTGACATTATTTTTAGGCAGTGATGTAGAGGAAAGGGGGGGAGACTTGCAGAAAAGGCTTTCACACGCGTAAGGCCAACTACATGCCCCAAACGTCCCAAAGCAATTCGCACTTCACGTGTCCCAACCCACTTGCCCTTTCCAGATCATCCATATGGATTCCTGGACTTTGGGTCAGAAAACGCTGCCACCATTCACATGCGGCCGAAGCCCCAGTCATGCTCCTGACTAGCATAGGTTCCAGGGAAAGAACATAATCTATAGATAATTGAAGTTAGGTGTTGACCGTGGGTAAAGGAAAAGGAGATAGTATGGAGAATTAAAGGGGCAAGTGGTGGTTAGACACCCAATACATACACCACACTCTCTGCCAGTAGATGTTACATATCTTTTTATATCCATCATGATGGTGGAGATCAGTAAGGTTATTTCTCTTTTGTATATTGGACAGCTGAGGTTCTGAGAGTTAATATCCCAAGGATACAAATCAGTGAGCGGCTAAGGCACTGTTTTAACTTGGTTCTGTTTGACTCCAGAGCATCAACGGGAATACAGAATGTACTCATTCCTCTCGTTCTCCCCTTTGAAAGTTGACCAAGGTCATGGTGCTGAACATCTCATTCAGAACTGCATGTCACTAAAGAGGGACTTCAGGTATGCAGAGGACAGAAACACATTTGTAACATGGAAAAGACTGAGTGTGTATGGGACCCTGCACTAGGATATGCTATTCTGGAAAGAGGGTGTTATGGACTGAGTGATTGTGTTCTTCCCAAATTCACGTGTTGAAGCCCTAACATCCAGTGTGGTTGTGTTTGGAGACAGGGCCTCTAAGAAAGTAATTAAAATTAAAGAGGCTGGGAGCAGTGGCTCACGCCTGTAATCCCAGAGGTTTGGGAGGCCGAGATGGGTGGATTGCTTGAGCCCAGGGGTTCAAGACCAGTGTTGGCAACATGGCGAAACTCCATCTCTATAAAAAAATACAAAAAATTAGCTGCGCATGGTGGTGCTTGCCTATAGTCCCAGCTACCTGGGAGGCTGAGGTGGCAGGATTGCCCGAGCCCAGAAAGTTGAGGCTGCAATGACCAGTGATTGCGCCAGTGCACTCCAGCCTGGGCATAGGAGTGAGACCCTGTCTTAAAAAACAAACAAACAAACAAACAAACAAAAAACCGAAAAAGGTTAAATGAGGTCATAAGGATGGAATTCTAATCTTGTAGGATTAGTTTTCTTATAAGAAGAGACATCAGGGAGTTTGTTTTCTATCTCTCTCTCTCCATACACACATCAAGAGAAGGGGTCATGTGAGGACACAGAAGGCGGCCATCTGCAAACCAAGAAGAGAGCCCTCCCCAGAAACTAAATTTGCCAGCACCTTGATTTCAGATTTCCAGCCTCCAGTACTGTGAGTAAAAAAATGTCCTTTTTTAAAAGCTATGATATGTTGTTATGGTGGTGCTAGCTAATACAAGGGGTTACAGTAGAGAGTGTACTGTGCTTGAGAAGGTGTAAGGCATGGACCAAGAGCCACCACTCTGCAGAATGTGTATGACATGCTACAGATGGCAGAGTATCTATTTTGATAACCTATTAGGAGAATAAATAACTTTATTGGGTTATAAATATTATATGCTATCTTATATTTGTTTGCCTCCTGTGAATTGCTTGAATCTTTGTTGTAAAGTTATTTCTGGAGGCAGTGTGTAGAGCTAGGAGAAAACATGAGAGTTGTGAAGTTGTGTTTAAAAACAAAATTAGTGTTTTGCACTGGGAAATTATTCCTCTGGTTAGGATAAAGAATCAGGAGGTGAACAAAAGTTGCCTTTTGGGGCTGGAATGGGGTGGTGGAGGCTTCTTTGAGATGTGTCTGATCTACTCTGAAGCAGTCTGAGAGCTGGTAAGAGTCAGGTCGTGATCCAGCTCACTTTTCCCACCCATCATCACCATCTCAGTAATCAGACACCTAAATCGGCATTTCTACCTCACTTCCATTTCCTTAGAGGTCCCGAATAACTCTCAAAGGTCTGAATAATTTCATGCAGTGGATTTAAGACAGTCCTGGAATGTACTCAGCCTAAGGTGAATCATGACTCTCGAGAAACTGACAGGGTATGGGTAAGCCTTAAATAATACTGTTTGTGCCCTGGGGGAAGAGTCAGCGCCTCCTCTTGGGAGGAAGCAGAGCGCTATGTTTTAATACTTGGTCTGAAAGCATCTGAACTTGAGGGCATCAGTTTTAATCCATATGCACTGCTAGTTATGGCTTGTGCAGCCTCCTGGAATTTCACCATTTTCTGTGGCCTGGGCACATGATGCCTCCATATACACCAGTTGGTTTACCTGGTGATGTTTTGGTGCTGCTAATGACCTGCACACAAAACCCAGACAAATATGCATACTCCTCTTTGCTGGTGTTTTTCCTCATCAGATTGTTAGCATCTCCAGATTCTTTGGCTTCTATGTGGACTGAAATTTGGCTGTTGGAATGCAAAGGATGAACCACAGTTTTACAGGAGGGCAGGTTATATGCAGGACAGTACCTCCAGGCAAAGACACTGCCCTCTCCTGCAGCCTGAGGGCTCTTGAGGAAGAGGGACATGCTGGAGCCTTCTCCTGTGAAGTGGCCAGCCCACCAGACTCACCAAGGCGGTGCTGGGCAGCTATGGGGGGATGGGGGAGTATGGCATCTCTGGTCCTCTAATCAGAAGAGGTGTGGGTTTTGGTTGGATGGAGTGTTAGATGAAAATGAGCAGAACAGAGCAAAATTAAAACACCGTTTTCTCAAACATAACTCCAGTTCTCAGCAGAGTCGTTATGCATCAACAAGGCAGGACTAAACTTGCTTGGTCAAGGACCAAGGTGGGGTTGGCCTTAAGGTATTAAACATGACCTCTCAGGCTTAATCTCCTACCCAAGGATAGACATTCTGAACCAACAATGGGTGACATGGCTCAGCTCATTCCTGGGCATTGAGATTTAACACAGAAACACAGGGACTGAGACCAGCCCCAGGCAAAGCTTGGAAGATGCACAGCTTCTCTTTGGCTTCTTTCTGTACCTCCTTTTATGCCATCACATCATCTGGGGTTCTGTCTCATGGAGCAAGTTGTACTCATGTAGCTAGTCTTTCCATCCCCTGCTCAAATACCAAAATCTACTCTCAGAAAGAGCACCTGTTTACATGCACACATATGCTCACATACATGCACATGCTAGATTCCTTATTGTTCCTGGTCTCAATTCCTCAAAGCTCTGCTCTCTGACTATAGCTAATGAAGAGTTTTAATCAGATAAGCCAATCTCTGCTAATGATTAAGCTACTTAGTAGACTCTTAGAATGTTCCTGCCTAAAAAGACAATGGAAGATCTATTATAATCCTCTTTCTTTGCAGCAGGAGAAGCCCAGGCTGCAAGAGGCCAGGCGACATGTCCAATATATTAATTAGCTAATGGAGGAGCAGAAAATGACACTTGAATGTCCTGACACCTCATCCAGTGTTCTTCCCTCCAGTCCCTTCTCCTGAGCTACATGATGTCTTAACCAATGGAAATGTATTATGCGCCAAAAAGGCTTTTAAGAATTAAATCTCTTCTTGGATGTCCCAATAGGGCTGTTCTGAACCCTTTCCCACCTCTTCAAGTCTTCAGTCCCCATCCATCATTTGCGGCAAACGATGACACTTCCTACATTACAAAGATCAAAGTCACCAGCACAGCTCCCTTAGCTTCCCTCCTCTGCATCTTCATGATTCTTGTCTTTGCCCATTAAGCTTTCTCTGTTCCTTTTCAAAGCCGATCATTCCCTTTCTCTGTCTTGTGCTTCCTCCCCGGTATGCTGCCTCCTCTAGGCCACCGTTGCATTAATTGTTGCATCAATCATCTTTCTTTCGGGGCAACCTCAGACCTGCCCTGGAATCAGCCTGGCTCTCTCAAAAGTTATCTCCCTCCCCCTTAAGACAGCATAGCTTCTCAAACTTCCCTCACTGTCAAACACTTCAACCAAGTATCCAGTAATGCCCCCACCCACCCTTGCAATCTGGCTGGCAGACCAGCACCCGCTTAAAACTGTTTCCACAAAATCACCCTCTCTTGGTTGCATCTGACACATCACTCTCTCTCTTTCTTCTCGGTTTTCTTCTGGTTGTCTCCATGCCACCGTACTATCTGAGTTCTCTGGTCTGGCCGGTCAAACTTCTCTCCTGCCTCCCTTATGTCCTAAATGTGCACGGTCACCAGGATTCTGTGCTTGCCCATTTATTTCCATATCACCTGATTGGTTTCTCAGGCTTCACCACCTCTTTCTGCCACTTCCCTGCCTCCTACATACCTGTGTTTGCAGGCATTGGCCTCAAACTCAACTTTTCTAAACGTGACTCCCCCATCTCTCCCTCCCAGATGAGTTTCCCTTCCTATCTTCACTGTTACTGCTAATGGCATCTCCATTCCCAGAATTGTTTAGGCATAATCTTCAAAGCTGTATTTCATGGCTCTTTTCAGCCTTCCTACTTCACACTCTCACCACAGCCTGTTGATTCCTCCTCTATCCTGTCCTTGTCCTTGCCATCAGATGGTACAGTGGTTAGGACGTGGGCATACCACATGGCAGTTGTCTCAGAGAGTGGGTTACCTGATCCCCCTGCAATCCAAGTCCTCATTGCACAGTGGGAATTACGTTAGGAGCCACTGTAGAGGCATGTTGTGAGGACTAAATGAGGCAACCCAGGTCAAGGGCTCATGGCGAGGAGGAAGCAAATATTACTACCGCAGTTATTACCATGAGCTCATGTGTGGACTGCTGCTGTCACTCCCCAACATGTCTCCTTGTCACCACTGGATACTTTCCAGCAGAGTTTAAAAAATTTTTCGCTATACCTTCAATATGACACACACGTATGAGCATGTACACATGAGCACACACACACACACACCCCTGAAATGAAAGCATCTTGGATCCACTCTGTCTCTTATTACATTTGATAGACAGTGGCAGTTTTTATTCTATTCTAATTCCTTTGATAAGAAATACTTATTGCGACTGATGAAAGAGATTTCATAACCCAGTTTGAACACCACTGCTGCCCATGACCGTCTTTTCTCAGTTTCGGATGGTGTTTTCTTCTCTTCTCTGGCTCCCCCTGTTTCAATCCTGTCTTCCGAGTCCAGCGTTCAGGATGCCTCAGCATCTGCCCATGGTCTAGCTTAACCTCCCCTCCTCCTGCTTCTTCTGATCACTACGCTCTGGCCCAGTAGACTGCCTGCTGGTCTCCCAGCGCCACCCTCTCCTAGCTCTGCGCCTTCGTCTGTGGCTCCCTCTGTCAGGAAATGCTGTGTTCTCACCTCCCACCTCTGACAGCCCAGGGCAGAGGCAAACTCCTCTACCATGCCATCCCGACCGTGCTTCCAGGAAAAGCAGTTCCAATAAATGTTTAGGCCGTCACCTGGAGTGTGGTGACAAGAAGAATTCTGAGGCCACATCCAGGCTCAGCAGGAAAGAGTATCCTGTCAGATCAGGTCATTTTGGCGAAGAAGGGGGTAATGACGGCAAGCAAGAGTGCTGCGCAGGGGCCATCTGCGTCCCAGCCAGAACTGAGTTCACCCTCAGCTGAAATGCAACATTTACTTTATACTTCTTCCATAGAATCAAAAACATTACATTTCAGCATGCATTCTTTATTGGTATGCCTTTCTGACATTCCTCACTCGATTGGAAGCTCTGTTGGATCAAGGATTATGTTTCACTCCTCTTAGAATCCTCCCAAACATCTGGTTCATTCTCTTGCGTATATTAGGTAAAATATTTGATCACTACATGAATGACTTTTGCCACTGAAGTTTCAGACCTAGAGCTAGCCAATCAGGGAAATATTTTGGGTTTGGGGAAACTCTTTGGCAGTATACTTCTCAAGAATCCTCTTGGACTGGGCCAGCATCCTGGGTCTTTATATACTATTAATTGAGCATTCCAGGATAACCGTCTTATCCTGTTGACAGGAACAAGGTAGTCAGACCTACTCTGGGGGCAGCTGAGATCACCCAACACTCCCAAAGGAGAGGCACTAAGAATATGGCACACAGCCATGGGGCCTATGAACCCCCCATGGGGGTCCCAACCACTGAGTTATATTAGTTATATTACAGTGGGAGCTTTTTTTTTTTTTTTTTTTTTGAGATGGAGTCTCTCTATGTCACCAGGTCACCAGGCTGGCGTGCAGTGGCATGATCTGGGCTCACTGCAACTTCCGCCTCCTGGGTTCAAGTGATTCTCCTGCCTCAGCCTCCCAAGTAGCTGGGACTGCAGGTGCACGCCACCATGTCCAGCTAATTTTTGTATTTTTAGTAGTGACAGGGTTTCACCATGTTGGCTAGGATGGTCTTGCTCTCTTGACCTCATGATCCACCCACCTCGGCCTCCCAAACTGCTGGAATTACATACAATGGGAGCTTTAGGGAGCATTTACTGAGCATCTACAAAGTGCCATGAGCTGATATAATTCTCTCTCCTACTCAAATGAAATGCAGTTGTGCAAAGGTCTTGCAACATTTGCAGCCAGGTAGATATAGATTTGAAGCCTGGGATCCTTGCTTTCTAATTACAGTTCCTTCGTGAATGAGTTTTCTGAGCCTCAGTTTCCTTATCTATAAAGTTGGATAACAATACTTACCCTTGCTTAGGGAAAAAATAGAGATAATGGAACAATCTCTCCTAGCATAGTACCTGCAATATAGGAGGCATTCATTAGCAAAAACTATTATTTGAGTATTAAGAGCAAGATGTCATCACCCCTCCTTTCCTAGGACGGAACTGATTCCTGGAGAGCTTTATTCATTAGCCAGAAATCACTCACCTAGCATGACAGCTGGATAGACCCAGTCCATCTAATTCCAAAGCCCTCACCCTTTCCACAACACTACTTGCTGCACGCCTCTTGGGGGAATTCATTGTACTGTTCTCAATGATTAATCCCTATTGAATGTAATTTCACTGAACATGAATGAGTTGATTGTGAGTAGAGCTGATCCCAGTAAACACTAGTCTATTAGAGATGTGCTACTGACCAATGCTCTGCTTCTGAAAGGAAAGCCAAGCAAAGGATCTGTGAAAACAAGGTATGTTTTTAGACATGACAGATGCCATCAATCTCGCCAGAACACACTTTTCAAACCTTAACCCCTATCTAAGGCCCAGCCCCACTCTCCTCATGCTTCTGGGCTGAGCCCTAGCATCCATGTTCTCTCTGCCTGAAACTGCCTCTCCTCCCCTCTGCACCAACAAGCTTTCTCATATCCCCCCAGCCTCAGCTGTGATGCCTCATAAGGCCTCCTCCTCAGGAAGGCCCCCTCCTTAGAATGGCTCCATCTTAGAAAGGCCTGTTCCTCAGGAATATCTCCTCAGAAAGGCCTCTTCCTGAGGAAGGCTTCCTTCTTAGATGGCCTCTTCCTCAAAAAGGCCCTTTTGTTAGAATGGCCTCCTCCTCAGAGATCTTTCTGAGGAGGCTTCCCCGGCAAGGCCTTCTCCTTAGAAGCCCTCCTTCTCAGAAAAGCCTCCTCTTCTTAGGAATATCTTCTCCTCAGAAAGGCCTCTTCTTAGAAAGGCCTCCTTCTCAGAAAGGCCTTCCCCTCAGAAAGGCCCCCCTCAGAAAGTATTCCTCTGTAGAAACCCTCCTCCTCATGAAGGCCTCCTCCTCAGGAACACCTCCTCAGATTGCTCAACTCTCAGTGTCCCCGTGACACCTTGCTTTTCAGTTCGATACCAGAACTTACTACTTTGTATTTGATAATTTATCTATCTATCTGTATGTCTCTTCCCCTCTAGACTAAAACGTCCTTAAGAGAATGAAGCTAGAATTGTTCCTTTTTGCCTTTCCAGGGCCTTGCTAAATTGTCACAGGACACAGAGTAGGGTTGGATGAAGTATTTGTTGAGTAAATGAAGTCATCTTGCCCATCTTCCTGTGTTTGAGTTTAACCAAGCTTTGCCTTTTCTATTTTGGTTTTATATGTACCACATGCTGGTGCCTTCTTGCCTCCCCTTAGATGACACACTCTGCAAGCTAATAAATATTCCTCGCTGGCTGCATTCCCTCCCTGTAGCCTGTCTGCCATCCATACAGAAACACCCACAGCATGGGGACCACCTTGCCCTGTGCATTCAAGTTAAAATGAAATGATTCAACACTTCCAAAACCAGCACATAAGATGCAAATGGTTTCCAAAAAATAGACCAAAAGCCAAACTGAATAAAAACACCAAGGAAAAAAACTAGGCAGAGAGAAAGAGCTATATGTGAGCCAGGCATACCAAGAGCAGGTTTTATGAGGCCCCGAGGGGCAGAATTTTGCATGGGATACTTGTAGGTATCCCACGAAAAATGCAACTGGGGGCTTGCCAGGCATTTTCAGCTACCTCTACCTTATTGCATCTCCTCACAGCCTGCTGAAGTAGGTTGTTCCTTCTCTTTTACGTTTGCGGAAACTGAGGCTGTGTTCGTGATTTACACAAATCCAACTGGAAAAGGGGCAGGGCCCAGTCTTGATCCTCAATCTCACCATTTCTTAGTTCACTATACATTTCCGTTATCCACAGGCATTTATGAGGAAATGCTAGTTCCAAAGCCAAGCCCGTGGCGAGGCAGCTGCTGGCGTTAGCAGGTGCAGGAGACTCAAAGCTCTTTTGGCAGCAGCCCTAAGGGACTTTTTGGGGGGTTGGTGGTTAGTGGGAGATAATTTTCACTTTCATTCCCTGAAGGCAACCTCCAGGCTTGGCCATAGGGAAGTACCTGTGCCTCGCATGCCACTCACTGCCTCCTGCAGCACCTCTGAGGCCACAGCACCCAGTTCAGGTAGCCCCACCATCCGCGTCCTGCCCCACTTCCAGTGCAGTTCGAACCTGTCCTGCCTAAGGTGGGCTGGGAGTTTCCCAGGGAGACCCCCTGCTGCTGGAGAGCAGAACCAATCTGTCCTACTAGGAGGTAGGAGTGGGCAGCTTCCCATGAGGACCCTATGAGTGAGCAGACACTCACTCCCTGCTTCCCTCAGAGAAATAAATGGCCAATCCTTCCCTCCCCAATTCACACATGCATGTGGGCAATGTCTGGGTAGGCTTAGAAATACAAACACCCCTGGAAGAGGTAGCACTTGCACTAAACTCAGGTGTAGATGGCTGATATCAAGTCATTCCTGAGGTTGGGATGGAGGAGAGAAGAAGACAGCCACAAGAAGGAAAAAAACCCAACCTCCTAAAGATAGAAAATGTTGAGAAATAGGTAAGTAGTTGCAGTTCAGTGCAAACTGATGTTCTGGAAAAAATGCTTGAGCTTTGGATCGGACAGCCCAGGATTCCATTCCTGCTTCACCACCTACCAACTGTGGGTCTAGGACACGTTAACCCACCTTGCTGGGCCTCACAGTGCTCCTCAGTAGGATGGGGATCACAGTACTAGGGCAGCTGCAGGCAGGCCTGTGTGGACAGCTAAGCTTGGGATATACAATTACCAAGCCAGCCTCTGTCTTGTCCTCGCTGGTTCTGAGATTCATTGTAATAAACAAGAAGTCACGAGTGGGAAGCAGGGTCAACAGTAGCCTAGAGAAGTCCAGGCTTCCTGGGAAGGGCAGAAGCCAGGCTCTGTCGGAGCCCATGGCTGCCCCTCATTCACCGCTGATGCTCATGGGCTCTGTTAGCTCAGCACAAGCAAAAGCCTAGAGGGGAGCTCCTGGGACCCAGGGGATGGTCTGTCTGCCTCACCTGGCCAAGGTGGCTTGCTCCTGGCAGAGGGAGTTAGTCATTCCACCTCTGCCTCCTGGGAGGAGGAGTTAAGAACTGGGACTGGCCCTCTGCCCCCCTTCTCCATTGGAAAGCAAGGCCCCTTAGGCCAGCAGAAGCCAGCTGTGTCTGAGGAAGCTCTCCTCGGTGGGCTGCTTCTTCCCCTGTCCTCTCGCTCACATTTCCTGGGTGGGAGCAGTTCCAGGCAGAAAGGACAACACGGGGAGGAGGACACCTTCTGGGGGCCTCTCACAGCCCTTCCAATCCCTCTCCAGGGCCTGGGAAAGAGCCTGTTTACAGACTGGTGCTGGCTCTTCCCTCACCTGTGCGCCCCGCCCATTCCCAAAGAGCAGGGCAGTCAGTTGGCTGGTGGCCGGAAAGGCTTCGGAACACGCAGGACAGACGTCTCCTTAGCCCGCTGCAGCCCTCTCCCGCCTCTACCAACTGCGGGCAGCACCTTTGGTCGGCCTGGGGGTGAGGCACAGAGCTCCACACCCAGGCAACTCAAGTGTGTGTGTGGTAAGGGGACACTGGGAGCGGCTGGACGACCCCCTCCTGCCGAACAGACAAGAGCCCCAGGACAAACTGGGATGGAGGTGAGGGTGCAGCTGCTGCCAGATGCGCTGGGTGCTGCCCAGGAAGGAGAGGGTTGGGGAGCCGGGTGCTCACTCGCCGCAGCAGCTCACTCCTGCTCGCCAGGGAGCTCAGGGCAGCCCCTGAAGCTGCCAGATCCCCCCACGCAGGCGGCGGCGCTCTGCACTGCGGAGCCGCGTCCTGGGGGAGCAGTACCCCCAGCCCCGGCGCCCCGCAGCCAGACAGCCCCCCTCAGGGTGGCAGCATTCCCCGGCTAGGGTGCAGGGACCCCCGGGGCGAGGCGGCCGCGCATTACCTTCCACTTTGGTAAGGGTCAGGACCGGACTGTTGCAGGCGCTGAGCGGGGCCACCCGGGCCGAGTGCTTCTTCATGATGAGCCGGCCGCCTGCAGGAGCGCTGCCGCCGATCGCCTACATCCTGGGGCCGGCTGGAGCGCGTCTCTCCC